>NC_000017.11:8672929-8824444 GCF_000001405.40 Homo sapiens
CTCCCAAAGTGCTGGGATTACAGACTTGAGCCACTGCGCCCGGCCGAGAGCAATCTTTCCAAAGTTTGCTCCACAAAACACTAGCCCAGGAGATGCTCTATCATCCAGCAATTTCACTTCTGAATCGAAGTGGGGACTGGAACAGATATGTATGCTCCCCTGTTCACAACATCATGATTCACAATAGCCAAGAGGAAGAAACAACCCTAATCTCCATCAATGGATAAGTGGATAGATAAAATGTAGCATATACATATGGTCCTACAATTATTCAGCCTTAATAGGAAGGATATTCTGACACTTGGTGCAACACAGATGAAGCTTGAGAACATTATGCTAAGTGAAATAAGTCCAACATAAAAGCACAAATATTACACAATTCTGCTTATATGAGGTAGCTGGAGTAGTCAAATGCATAAAGACAGAAAGTAGAATGGTGCTTGCTAGGAGCCAGGAGATCAGGGAATGGGGAGTTACTGTTTAATGGATACAGAGTTTCAGTTTGGAAAGATGAAAAAGCTGTGCAGATGGATGATAGTGATGATTGCACATTGTTACAGCGTGAAGATACTTAATGCCCCCGGAATGGTAAACTTTGTGTTACATATTATTTTACCAGAATTTTTAAAAGGAGGACAAAATGAGAAGTGTTTCACTAATTAATGGTATCACCAAACAAGCAAGTCTGGGGAGGTCTGATTACATTTTCCTACACACACACACACACACACACACACACACACACTTGCCCTGGCAAGTCACAGTGCACATTCAATAAAAGACCCAGAGCAGTCCTAAATCAAAGACTATTTAATTCAATTTAATCAAGCATTTCCTCAACAGAACACAGAGCCCTTTTTATTTTTGTGGAACATGATTAACAGCCCACATCCATGGTGCGTCCCTTGGGAAATGCTGATAAGGAGCTTCATACTGCTCAAAGCATTTCCTCTGCTAGTACCTCACTGAATACTTCCTGCTGGCCAAAAAGACAGTCCCTAACAGTTAGAGCTCCAGAATCTTTATTGACTATTGGACAGTCAGTGAGTTAGTCATTAATTGTCTCCATTTTATTGATGAAGAAACTGTGGCCCAGGAAAGTCAAGCCCTAACCCAAGGTACTGCAAAGCTGCTCTGCCAAGATCAGTGGTAGAGCCACACCAAAACCCCAGTTTTCTAAACCCTGTCCTGGGCTGTGCCTCCCCAAACCCAGTGCTGATCCCCTGATGCTCCTTCTGGGTGTCCAGGTGTAAGCAAAGCAAGTTCATAGAAGAGCCTCAGAGCTCTGGGGTTGCTGGGAACACCAAAGGGGACAGAAGGACTCAGGGACCATAGGCCCCCTTAAAGGTTAGTGCTCCAAGCCCCAGTCTCTCTTTTCTCCTCCTTTCTGCAAAACAGGGCTAGGGAAGCTCAGAGATATCCTGTCACCAACAAGCAATCCCTGACTTTTCCTGATGTAAGAATGTAATACACCCCTGACATCATAAGACTCGTCCAGGGTGCAGATTAAGATATAGACTCCCAGGCCTGCCTCCTGGAGATTCTGATTGAATACGTCTGGGGCAGAACTTGGGAATGTTTTAAACAAACATCCCAAGGAATCTTATCTTGGAGGAAGAGTGAGTACCCCTGACCTTCACACTAAAAGGGACCTCAACAGAATACCTTCTGGCTCAGCTCCTTGCCCCACGGGTAAGACAGCTGAGTCTCCACAGAGCCTGCGTGACTGTCCAAGTTCACATGGCTACTTTTTTCCAAAGGCTTTAAAAACACAAACAAAAGCCCAATGTTCATTTCCTTGAGGAAAGAGGCAGGTCTAATTTTTAAAATAAGAATTGATTTCTATGCTCCTCTGTCCCAGCACACCCTACATCATTCCATCCCTCCCTGCCCAGCGGAGACCACTTCTCAGGGCTCTCCTGCCCCTGTCCTGTTCATTGCGAGCAGGTCCAACCACTCTGGAAAATGTCCCGGCCATCTCCCTCACTATAGACCTAACCGACTGCAGTGTTGATCCAACTTGCTTTCTGAGCGTTGATGGAGACCAAATGCTGTTTGGCTTTTGCCCCGCCCGCCCCATTTCCATCTGAGTAGCAGTCAGACCATCTCAGGCTCGAACTATGCTGCAGGAGGAAGCCGGCAGCCGAGTTCTCCCTTCCCAAGGAGCTTACCCCCACCCTCCCGGCTGGAGAACCTGCCACCCCAGCCCAACGCATGAGACAGATGACCCAGACAAGGCCGGGCACACACACAGCATTCCGTCGTCACTTGGCAGGTCCTTGTCAAAGAGCAGATGGAAAAGTCTGAGGACACTCAATTCCCCAAATTCCTTTTCTGAGAGCTCTACCCTGTCTCAGCTCCAAAAAAATTAGTCTTTTCAGACTAGTTAAAACCCAGCCTCCCTACTTACATACACATCAATTTTCTTTGCTTTGGGTCCCAGGAAGGGGGCACTGAAGCGATCCTCTTTTTGTGGCCCCAGAGTTGTCTGCCTGTCTCCCTGCCTGGTGAGGGTTGCTGCTCCTAATCAGAAGGTCTTACGGGCCACAGGTTCATCTCAGGGGGGCCTCAATGCTCCCCGTGGCCCCGGAGTCCTTGCCAGCCACAGGAGCACAGCTTGGAGTCGCAGATCTGACTTCAAACCTTGGCTTTCTGGCTGCGCGATGGGATTGTTGAATCCTTCTGGACCTGCTTGCGCATTTGTAAAGTGGGGAGAATCTTCTTCCCACCATTCAAATGGGGAGAAAATCATCTACTTTGCAAGGTTGTCATGATAATTAAACAAGATGCTGTGTGCAAAGCGCTTGGCATACAGCTAAACAAATGCTCAGGAAACAGAGGTGACCATGATTTCCTTGAGCTCTCCAGACTTCTGTCACCTTCACCTGGCTCCCCTTTGCCACAAAGAAAGCCAGGTAACCTGAGATGGGACCCAGATTATGGCCATCATACAGCCTACATTAGAGGTCTTAATTTGTGAGTTTTCATGTAAGATATACATGAGGGATATAAGAACACCTGAAATTTGATCTAAGAATGTGTAATTTGACCCTTTTTTTTTTGGAGACAGGCTCTCACTTTGTCACCCAGGTTGGAGTACAGTGGCGGGATCTCTGCCCACTGCAGCCTCAACCTCCCAGGTTCAAGCAACCCTCCTTCCTCAGTTCCCCCAAGTAGCTGGGACTACAGGCACGTGCCACCATGCCCTGCTAATTTTTGTATTTTTTGTACAGATGGGATCTCGCCATTTTGCCCAGGCTGGTGGCATGACCCACCATGCCTGGCCTGTAATTTGATCTTTTCTTTTCTTTTCTTTTCCTTCCTTCCTTTCTTTCCTTCCTTCCTCTCTTTCTTTCTCTCTCTCTTTTCTTTTTTTTTCAGAGATCTGTCTCTGTCACCCAGGCTGGAGTTCAATGGCGCAATCTCAGCTCATTGCAACCTCTACCTTCTGGGTTCAAGTAATTCTCCTGCCTCAGCCTTCCGAGTGGCTGGGACTACAGGCACTCGCCACCACACCCAGCTAATTTTTGTATTTTTAGTAGACACGGGGTTTCACCATGCTGGTCAGGCTGATCTCGAACTCCTACAGGCCACTGCACCCAGCCATGTAGTTTGATCTTTATTGCTAAATTGTATCCCGGGAAGGTTGCATCAGTTTATACTTGCATCTCCAATGTAAGAAAGTGCCTGGCCTCCCTGCCCCCTCACCAACAAGGCCTATCCAGGTCGAGTATTCCTTATCTAGAAGTGCTTTGGATTTGGGATTTTTTTCAGATTCTGTAATATTTGCATATACAAATGAGATATTCTGGGGATGGGACCCAAGTCTAAACACAGAAATTCATGTACACCTTATACACATAGCCTGAAGATAATTTGATATAATATTTTAAATAATTTTGCGCATGAAACAAAATTGGTGTTAAGTACTTATGTGTGGAGTTCTCCACTTGTGGCATCATGATGGAGCTCAAAAGCTTTGGATATTGGAGCATTTTGGATTTTGGAGTTTTGGATTAGGGATGCTCAACCTGTAGCAACACTTTCTTTTTCTTTTTTTCTTTTTTTTTTGTCGCCCAGGCTGGAGTGCAGTGGCGTGATCTCAGCTCACTGCAACCTCTGTCTCCTGGGTTCAAGCAATTCTCCTGCCTCAGCCTCCTCAGTAGCTGAGATTACAGGCGCGCACCACTACACTGGCTAATTTTTGTGTTTTTAGTAGAGACAGGGTTTCATCATGTTAGCCAGGCTGATCTCGAACTCCTGACCTCGAGTGATCCACCTGCCTCGGCCTCCCAAAGTGCTGGGATTACTGGCGTAAGCCACCACACCCGGCCTGTAGCAACATTTTTAAAGGCAACACCAGTTCAAAGAATTACCTCATTGTTGTTCTGATTGGTGAATTTGTGATTAGTGGTGAGGTTGAAGTTTTTTCATATATATTGGACAATTGTATTTCTTCTTTTGTGATATTCTTTTTTTTTTTTTTTGAGACTGAGTTTCACTCTTGTTGCCCAGGCTGGAGTGCAGTGGCTCAATCTTGGCTCATTGAAACCTCCACCTCCCGGATTCAAGTAATTCTCATGCCTCAGCCTCCCGCGTAGCTGGGATTACAGGCATGCACCACCACACCTGGCTAATTTTGTATTTTTATTAGAGACGGCGTTTCACCATGCTGGTCAGGCTGGTCTCAGACTCCTGACCTCAGGTGATTCATCCACCTTGGCCTCCCAAAGTGCTAGGATTACAGGCATGAGCCACCACGCCCAGCCCTTTTGTGATATTCTTATTCCTGTCCTTTGTTTATTTTTCTAAGGCTTCTTTATTTTTTGTTAATTTACAATATTAAGATTGTGTTAACTTATAATTAATTTATTAATTTATAATTTTATATAAAATATAAATCATTTATATAAATATAAATTCTGTCCTACATGAGGTAAATTTTTTTCTGACTTTTAACATTGACTTTCATGTCTTCTGAAATTTTACATTTTTAGTTGGTCAGAGCAATCTCTTCTTTTGTGATGTCTGCTTTTGATATTATACTAAAGACCTTCACCCCAAGATTATATAAATATTTACTTATATTTCATTCTAGTATTTTTCTTTTCTTTCATAGATTAGTACTGTTAGTTCATCTAGAACCATGCTGTGCCCTAATGGCTATGTAAATTTAAATTTCAAGCAATTAAAATTAAAAAGTGTGGCTCCTCAGTGTACTAGCTCCATTTCAAATGCTCAGTAGCCATTTGTGGCTAGTGGCTGCCATGTTGAGAAGCACAGGTGTAGAATATCTCCACCTTCACAGAAAATTCTACTTCTACTGGACAGAGCTGATCTAGAATTTATTTCGTGAACCATGCAGAAGGGCAGGGAATCCAACATTGTTCAAAAGAGTTCATGTAATTGTTTCAATATCATCTTTTGAATAATTCATCACTTTGATCCTGATTTGAGATGCTACGTTTACTATTCATAAGTCTAGTAATACATACTTGGCTCCATTTCTGTACTTCCTACTCTTTCTTTATCTATCTTCCTAATCCTCACCAGGACCACACAGTTTCAACTATGATAATTTTACAACATATTTTAATGTTTAGTAGAGCAAATTTTTTTATTTATTTCTTATTCTTTTTTAAAAAAATCATGGGCAATTCTCACACTTACGTTTCCAAACTTTAAAATAATTCCGTAGTTAGGAGTTGGAATTGCATCCATACAATAAATCAACTCATGAAGGGCTGTTACTTGTCACCTGTTTCCCCAACTTCCTGCACTTTCCATCAAACCCTGCACTCTAACTAGACTTAGCCAGTTGCTTTTCCACCAGCACACACCAGGGCACGCTCCTCACTGTGCCCTCACTCCCCAGGCTGGTCCACTAGGAAATTCCACTTGTCCTGTTAGCTCAAAGCTCCCTTTCTCTGTGAAGCCCTTTCTGATACCTCTGGACAGAGGTAGGTGCTTCTCCCAATTTCTTTTGTCCATTCCTATGTTGGAACAATTATCTTGTTATTTTACATTTGTTTGTTTACAAGTGTGACTTCTCACTATGATAAACAATCTGAGGACAAGTACTGTGTCCTTTCCATTTTGAATTTCCAGAACCTACCAATAGCACTTTGGCTCAACAAAAATGTATTGAATCAAAAAGCATAACTCAAGTCACACTGGAAAAGTTAGCTACAACCTTGAATGTAGGTATCTGCAGGCTTTGCCTAGGACAGAGCTGTACTGTGTTCATTTAATCTGGCAGTGATGTTTTAACTGAATTGGGGTGTGGAGGTGATAGGAAGCCAAGAGACTAGTTAAGAGGCCATCAGACGGGTTCAAGGCAGACAGAGTAAAGGCCTGAATAAAGGATGGCTGCTAGGGCTTGGGAAGGAGGAGACATTGTTGAGGGATGACGCAGGGTTAGAATTGTTGGGAGACTGAAGACAGACAGAGCCAAAAATGTGACCAGGGACCTAACAGCGTCTTTCTGCAATTTATTCTCATGGACTTTTCAATACTTGTAAGTGTTTTTGTGTCATTCACAAACATTACAATTTTACCATATTTACTATGAAATTTTACTATAAAATCAAAATGAATTATTGTAATGTCACCAACGATTGTTCTAGAACTAGCTTAGTCAAGTCACTTAAACTCTTTGTAACTGTTTCCTCATCTGTAAAATTGGTATCACACTATTACTTCCCTTAGAGGGCTGTGGTGAGGCTAAGATGAGCTAATACTTGTAATGTGCTTAGAGCAATGCCTTGCACATAATAAAAGCTCAATGATCACTGGCTATTTTATTTTGTTTTATTTTTTGAGACAGAGCCTCTGTCTGTCACCCAGGCTAGCGTGCAGTGGCGCCACCTCAGCTCACTGCAACCTCTGCCTCCCGGGTTCCAGCGAGTCTCCTGTCTCAGCCTCCCGAGTAGCTGGGATTACAGGCATGCCCCACCAATTTTTAGTAAAGATGGGATTTCACCGTCTCTTGGCCAGGCTGGTCTCGAACTCCTGGCCTCTCAGCCTCCCAAAGTGCTAGGATTACAGGCATAAGTACTGTGCCCGGCCCATTGGCTATTTGAAAGATTATTATTCATACGTTTCCATCCAGAGAAGCACCCATTTATCCTTGCCACTAAGGTAGCTTCCTACCTGTGACAAAAAACCACCAACCATCCAATGACTCATGGAGCCTTACATGGCACCACTTGTCAAAGACTTTTTGAAGGCTGAAGTCTATTACATGTATATATGCATGCAATTGGGCAAAGAAACTGTCTTTCCCCTGTGAAGTTAGGTTTGTTCAAGGATCTCGTTACCTCGCTCTGTTCAGAGGTGTACCTGGTAAAAATTGGTCTCTGTCTCCTTTGAGAGGCAACGTGGTGCAGCTGAACAAGGATGGAGCTCTTGGAGTTCAGGGTGTAATTAGGGGATGGAGGGCCATCTAGATGGAGAAGTGAGAAGAGGCCACCCCAAAACAGATCCACTCCTGTCCCAGGAGAAGTCCAGAATGCTATTTTCCTACACGGCTCTGGGGTGGGTTAGTTTCACTGCTTCCATCATCCACCAGAAGAATGTGAGTGGGAGAGGGAGGAACTGGAGGTTGTAGCCATCTTCTTCTTGCCTCCAGAGAGGGATCCAAGAAAAGCTGTGATGCCCCTGCTAGCCAGAAACTGCTACTGTCAGCAGATTTTAAAATCCCGAGAATTCAGGTCAAAGGCATCTCATTCTACACATTGCTTTGTAGAATCCTCAGAATCTATGGGCTGCAGTGCAGCTACTGGCTGTGTTGGCTTCATTTCACCCATTTTTATGATGAATCCTGCCATATTCCCCAGAAAGAAAGTGAGACATGCTGATGTGTTTATTACATAAGAGCCATGATTACAGCTGTTACCATCTTGTGAGAAGAAAGTGAGAGGTTCCAGGGTGTCTGTCACAGGTTGTACCACCTTGCTCATAATGAAAATGAGATATACCTCTGTATTTATTATTGATTTTGTCCTCTTACTCAGAATGAGGGTGAGAGGTGTCACTGTCTGCAGCAAAGCTTCTACTGGTCCTCCTTGTGAATGGAGGCTAAAGTGGCAACGTTCAATGCCAAGTCAGTTGAGCTGGAACGTTCTCTCTCATCGGTTCCGCTCTTGCCTCTAGACTTGCCTGTCTCAGGCCTCCAGGACAAGATTCTGACTTTGAGGTCTTTGGTTAGCATTTCCACGTTCACAAGGGGTCACACTAACAGTTAATGCCTTTGTGCTGAAACAAGGTCTTCACTGTGCCTCTTTGGGCGAAAACAAAATCCCTAGACACAGAGTTGACTTCCAGAAAAGGCTCCCGTGCTAAGTCAGCCAACAGACTCCAGAGCTAATCGGAACCAGATGTGAGTTCTTTCACTTAAATATATTACAGGTCACAGATTTATTTTTTGAAAGCACCTATAACAACAATTAAAGTCATAAAATGTGTTTTCCCTGGATATTTTCTCATAGTCGACCAAGCGATATAGTCTGATAAGTTGGGGCTAACCTATGCCAAAATCAACATATTTGCTTTGTTCGAAATCTGCAGAATATGTCTGTCTGCGGAGGTGCGCTCTGGTCAGGCCAGGGACAGCTGCCAACATACAAACAGTTTCCTAAAATATCCCCTGCATGCAGGAACGATAAGCAGACCCCATAGATCTGTGGCTGAGAGGTGGGGAGAGAAAAGCCTGGGGGAGAGAAATAGAATGAGTGGCATTAAGCATAATTCGGGTAATTTGGCAGATACTTCCTGCGTTTAAAAAATGGAGTCTATAAAGAGTTCAGCAATGGCCGACAACTTTCTCCATACCAGTATCGCTGCCAAAGTTCAGATGCTGGGCTGATGTCCACCTCTGGGAAGGACTGCTAGCAAATTCATGAGTTGTTCTTTCATCTAAAGTCTCTTACCAAGAAATTGTTTTTGGGAAGAGTGGTCCATGGAAACGGGTCTGGCTTCCAACGCTACACGCCAGCAAGCAGGGACCTCCCTGTCCCCATGATCGCCCGCCGGTTTTGGGGCTTGTTCCTTTACTTTTGGGCACCATTTCCATCCCAATAAATATCCCATTTTCTTTTTTCTTTTTCTTTTGAGACAGTCTCGCTCTGTCGCCCAGGCTGGAGTGCAGTGGCGCGATCTCGGTTCACTGCAAGCTCCGCCTCCCGGGTTCACGCCATTCTCCTGCCTCAGCCTCCGGAGAAGCTGGGACTACAGGCGCCCGCCACCACGCCCGGCTAATTTTTTGTATTTTTAGTAGAGACGGGGTTTCACCGTGTTAGTCAGGATGGTCTCCATCTCCTGACCTCGTGATCCGCCCGCCTCGGCCTCCCAAAGTGCTGGAATACCGGCGTAAGCCACCATCCCTGGCCCCAAAATTTCCCATTTTCCAACAGTAGACTCTGAATGCCATCTGGTCATAGCCTGTTTTTTGTGTTTCCTTTTTCTTTTCTTCTTCTTCTTTTTTAAAATATAATTCAACCCAACTTTATTTTATTTTTTATTTAAATTATACTCTTAAGTTTTCGGTTACACGTACAGGATGTGCAGTTCTGTTACATAGGTATACACGTGCCATGGTGGTTTGCTGCACCCATCAACCTGTCACCTACATTAGGTATTTCTCCTGTTATCTGTCCCCTAGCCCCCCACCCCCCACAGTCCCTGGTGTGTGATGTTTCCCTCCCTGTGTCCATGAGTTTTCATTGTTCAACTCCTACTTATGAGTGAGAACGTGCGGTGTTTGGTTTGCTGATCTTGTGACAGTTTGCTGAGAATGATGATTTCCAGCTTCATCCATGTCCCTGCAAAGGACATGAACTCATCCTTTTTTATGGCTGCATAGTATTCCATGGTGTATATATGTCACATTTTCTTAATCCAGTCTATCACTGATGGACACTTGGGTTGGTTCCAAGTCTTTGTTATTGTGAATAGTGCCGCAATAAACATACATGTGCATGTGTCTTTATCGTAGAATGATTTATAATCCTTTGGGTATATACCCAGTAATGGGATTGCTGGGTCAAATGGTATTTCTAGTTCTAGATCCTTGAGGAATCACCACACTGTCTTCCACAATGGTTGAATTAGTTTACACTCCCACCAACAGTGTAAAAGCGTTCCTATTTTTCCACAAGTGTTTTGTTTTTCTTATATGCACTTTGGGAACTCTTCTTGGCATTAATTATCTTTTTAATTAATTAATTATTTTTTGAGAGAAGGTCTTGCTCTGTCACCCAGGCTGGAATGCAGTGGCACAATCATGGTTCACTGCCACCTCGAACTCCAGGGCTCAAGAAATCCTTCCGCTTCAGCCTCCTGAGTAGCTGGGACTACAGGTGCACCACTGTGACTGGCTAAATTAAACAAAATTTTTTTTTTTTTTTTTTTTTTTTTGTTAAAGATGGAGTCTTGCTTGCCTAGGCTGGACTGTAACTCCTGGGCTTAAGGGATTCTCCCGCCTCGGCCGCCCAAAGTGCTGGGATTACAGGTGTGAGCCACTCGTGCTTGGCTGACACTGATTGTCTTTGATGTCCAGTTTCCATTCTTCCTGCTTTTGGTAATAGTCGCCCATTTCCATCCGGCAAAATACCCCTCCCCACTCCCAGTCCTGTGACCCACAGGGGTTGCTAACACTCCACTCTCTCCCACCCCCACCACCATCACCACACACACCCCCCATGTACCTTGGGTCATACATGCCCTAAGCCTTGCCAAAAGAAAAGGATGAATTCAGTGAACACCTATGATCAGTGGAGCTTTTAGACTTCAGGTCCTTTCTTCTTAGAAATTAATTTCTTAAAATAGTGAATACATTCACATGGTTCCAGAAAAAGCATGGGAAGTTGAATAGTAATAAAATAGAAAACTATAAATCAAAAAGTAAATAAATTGAAAATTTGATAACAGAACAAGACATTTGCATAGTCTTCAAGTGCTTCCCCACAAAATCTCATTTGTTAGAAAGGGAAAAAGAGGAATTTTGCCAAGGAGAACCCTGGCAGACACCACATTAATAAAGCGATTAATGTTAATGTCATCGGTAATGGGACAAATTGTAATTGTGTGCCGATTGATAGATGCAATGAGAAGGTCATATGTCACTCCTGTGATATTCCCGCCAAAGATTTGTAAGCTGAATCTAATCATGAGGAAATATCACAGCATGCCTATGCCTTGGCATAGTGGCTCACCCCTGTAATCCCAGCACTTTGGGAGGCCGAGGCAGGTGGATCACCTGAGGTCAGGAGTTCGAGACCAGCCTAGCCAACATGGTGAAACCCTGTCTCTACTAAAAATACAAAAATTAGCTGGGCGTGGTGGTGCCTGCTTGTAGTCTCAGCTACTTGGGAGGCTGGGGCATGAGAACCGCTTGAACCTGGGAGGCAGAGGCTGCACTGAGTCAAGATTGTGCCACCGCACTCCAGCCTGGGCAACAGAGCAAGACCCCGTCTGATTATTGGCCTGTAATCTCTCTGGTCTTGAAGGCTACGAAAAGACTGAGAAACGATCCAGATTGAAAGAGAATGAAGGCAACATATGATTATGAAGTGGATCCTTTTGCTATAAAGGACATTATCGGGACACTTGAAAGGTAGAAATATATCAGTGTTAATTTCCTGATCTTGTTGATTGTATTGTGCATATGTGGGGGTTTCCCTGTAGGAATTTAGATACTAAAGTATCCACAGGTGATGGGGCATCATATCAACAACTTACTTTCAAATGGTTCAGGAGAAAAAGATATTTTTTTACCATGCTTGTAGCTTTTGTGTAAATTTGAGATTGTTTCAAAATTTAAAAAATGGTTTCAAATTATCTAGTACAAAATTTTCCCTCTAATCACTGAGTTTCATCTGCCTAGTCCTTCCCCAATAAGGGGTAACCATGAATCCTGGTACGTTCTTTAGAGATTTTATTTTCAATGTATCTGTAGGAATAAATAAGCCATGCCCACAACATAAGAGGCACTCTTTTTTTTTTTTTTTTTTTTTTTTTTTTTTGAGATGGAGTCTTGCTCTGTCGCCAGGCTGGAGTGCAGTGGCGCAATCTCGGCTCACTGCAACCTCCACCTCCCGGGTTCAAGCGGTTCTCCTGCCTCAGCCTCCCGAGTAGCTGGGATTACAGGCACATGCCACCATGCCCAGCTAATTTTTGTATTTTTAGTGGAGACCATCCTGGCTAACACGGTGAAACCCTGTCTCTACTAAAAATACAAAAAATTCGCCGGGTGTGGTGGCGGTGGGCTGTAGTCCCAGCTATTCGGGAGGCTGAGGCAGGAGAATGGCATGAACCCGGGAGGCGGAGCTTGCAGTGAGCCGAGATCACACCACCGCACTCCAGCCTGGGCAACAGAGCGAGACTCCGTCTCAGAAAAAAAAAAAAAAAAAAAAAAAAAAAAAAAAGCAAAAAGATCATTCCGTGTAGGAAATAAAAAATTATGGGGTTAGGGTAAGGTTAAAGATAGAAGATCATTTAGAAGTCTTCTGTTTTGTCCCTGGGATTCTCATCTCTGGAAATCAAATCTTCCTTTAAAAATAAACACAAAACCACGTTTCTGTAGTAAAAGGCAGAGTAATGGCACATTCTTACACACTTTGACTCAGCAGACACAGAGACTGACCCGAAGAAACCACAACAACTAAGAAATGCATTTGGGTTGTGGTGGTGTCTCGATTTCTTTAAGAACAATAGGGCCCGGCGCGGTGGCTCACACTTGTAATCCCAGCACTTTGGGATGCCAAGGCGGGCGGATCATGAGGTCAGGAGATCGAGACCATCCTGGCTAACACAGTGAACCCTCGTCTCTACTAAAAAATACAGAAAATTAGCCGGGCATGGTGGCAGGCTAGTCCCAGCTACTCGGGAGGCTGAGGCAGGAGAATGGCGTGAACCCGGAAGACAGAGCTTGCAATGAGCCGAGATCGCGCCACTGCACTCCAGCCTGGGCGACAGAGTGAGACTCTGTCTCAAAAAAAATTAAGAACAGTAGATGGGTACCTGCTTCATCATTGAGCAAGAAAGGTTCAATTCTAGTGAATTTTGTCAAAACAAACAATGATAGAAACGGTCAGCCTTAAGTATAAATTGACATTTCTATTTCTAGAGATAAAAAATTGCTTCCAACTCTTAGCTGACAGTCCCCACTCTTGCTGCCTCAAAGTTTCACAGTTTATAAGGTCCCCTCTTCACCCCTCCTTACACTGGTATTTTTCACCCCACCTGGCCAAGGGAAGGCATTGGCAAGCACACCTCCAGTAGCTAGTGATGCGTTTTAGAATGTTCCCATTTTTATCCTCCCTCCTACACTGTCTCCTTTCTCTCAATTCATCTCCCCAGTGTCTTTTCTATTTGGGTTACCTTCATGCTTTTTTCTCCTGGGTTCCATTATTTTTATAAATTTTAGTTAATCTTTTATTTTATTTTTTAGATGGAGTCTCTCTCTGTCACCCAGGCTGGAGTGCAGTGGTGTGATCTTGGCTCACTGCAACCTCAGCCTCCTGGGTTCAAGCAATTCTCCTGCCTCAGCCTCCTGAGTAGCTGGGACTACAGGTGTGTGCCACCACATCCAGCTAATTTTTGTGTTTTTAGTAGAGACGGGGTCAGGCTGACCATATTGGTCAGGCTGGTCTCGAACTCCTGAACTCAGGTGATCCACTCACCTCAGCCTACCAAAGTTCTGGGATTACAGGTATGAGCCACCACCCGGCCATCTCCTGGGTTCTATTATTGTTTGGCTGCCCTTAATGACTGTGGGCTCCGGGCCAATAGTACAAACAGAGGCCTGTCCTGCTATCTTTCTAAATATTTAGAAATTGTAAACCAAGGCATCAAACTGTTAAATAAAATAGGTTCTTACTTCTTACCATGGTATTCACCTTCATAACAACCTGAGAGGCCAGGTTTGAATTCAGAATTCTCATACTTCTCGAAAAATCATGCTAGAATATGAAAGCGCAGAGAGAGCCTGCCATTGCCGACCTCTGGCTGCAGCCGTCCACCCTTCTCTTCCTACCCTTTGCAACATCTGGTATCACAAGGAGCCTCTTGTGCATAGCTATGGACACCCAGCCCACAAGTCTAGCCTCCATACTCCTGCACCTCCATCCCTACTGCCAGCTTCATCCTGACCACCCCTCAGGCCTAGGGGTGGGTACCACTCTGCTGTAAGAGTCACCCTTGAGGGATGGAATAAGGCAACAGGCCCCTGTAAGCCCTGGAAATGGGCCTGAGGCCATTTGGACAGAGAATTCTGGGGTCCTGGTACCAGAAGTGTGGTCTAAAAGGGAGGAGAAACACAGAACAAGTTCCTCCCCTCCCTTCTTCCCCTCTCTCTCCCCTTCCCTCTCCTTTCCTCCACCCCCCTCCCCTCCCCTCCTCTCTTAACCCTCCCCTCCCCTTTCCTCCTCTCCCCTCCCCTCTCCTCCCCACTCCCTTCCCCTGCCCTCTCCTCCCCACTCCCTTCCCCTCCCCTCCCCTGCCCTCTCCTCTCCTCCCCCTCCCCTCCCCGTCCTCCCATCCTCTCCCTTCCCCTTTCCTCCCCTCCCCTCTCTTTACCCCTCCCCTCCCCTTCCTCCCCTTCCCCTCCCCTCCTTTCGCCTCCCCTCTTCTCCACTCCCTTCCCCTTCCCTCCTCTTCCCACTCTCCCCTCTCCTCCCCTCCCATCCCCTTTCCCCCGCCATCTCCTCCCTTCCCACCCCCTCTCCCCCGCCATCTCCTCCCCTCTCTTCCCCCTCCACCCCTCTCCTCCCCTCCCCTCCCCTCTCCTCTCCCCTCCCCTCTCCCCCTCCCCCTCCCCACCTCTCCTCCCCTCCTTTGGTCCTGAAGAATCCTTTACCCTTTGGAAGCAGGAGGAGAGCCAGAGTGGGGGGCCCTGCTGCCTAGATCCAAGGGCAGTACTGATGGTCTTGATAAATTGTATTACTAGATTTCCTGATATTCATCCATCCTTGTGATTCTGGAATAAACCCTGCTTAGTCATGGTTTTTTTTAAATATACTGCTGGATTCCATTTGCTAATGTTCTACATAGGAATTTTCCATCCATATTCATGAGTGAAATTGATCTCCAGTCTTCTTCATTTGTGCTAACATTGTCAGGTTTCAATATCAGGGTTATGCTAGTTTTGTAAATTGAATTGGGAAACTTTCCATGCTCTTCTATGTTCTTTAACAGTTATTTTGTTCTTTTTAATTTGCAAGGCATTTATAAAAACATTCTCATTGTAAAAAACATTCAAACCATGCAGAAAAAGATAAATTCCCCTTGACTTCCCTTTACATTCTAATCCCTGTCTAGAAATAATCACTGTTAGCCATGTGCTGTGTATTCTCCTAGAGCTTTTCACTTCTATACATACATGTAGCTGTCTATGATTTGGTACTTTTTCTTTACCTAAATGGGATTAAATTCTACATACTAAATTACAAGTTTTTATGTTTTCTGCTCTCCTTCCTTCCCTCCCTCCCTCTCTCCTTTCTTTCTTTCCCTTTCTTTCTCTTTTCTTTCTCTTTCTTTCTTTTTCTTTCTTTTTTTTCTTTCTTTCTTTCTCTTTCTTTCCTTCTCTCTCTCTCTCTCTCTTTCTTGACAGAATCTTGCTCTGTTGTCCAGGTGACAGTGCAGTGGTATGATCTCGGCTCACTGCAACCTCCGCCTCCCAGGTTCAAGCAATTCTCCTGCCTCAGCCTCCCAAGTAGCTGTGATTACAGGTGTGCAGCACCATGCCTTGCTAATTTTTGTATTTTTAGTAGAGACGGGGTTTCACTATGTTGACCAGGCTGGTCTCGAACTCCTGACCTCAGAGGATCTGCCCAGCTCAGCCTCCCAACATGCCAGGATTACAGGCGTGAGCCACTGAGCCCGGCCTTTTTCTTTTTTGAGACAGAATCTCATTCTGTCACCCCAGGCTGGTGCACTGGTGCCATCACTGCCCACTGCAGCCTCAACCTCTAAGGCTCAAGCGATTCTCCCACCTCAGTCTCTTGAGGTGGTGTGCACCTGTAGCCTCAGCTAGTTTTTTAATTTTTTAATTTTAATTTTAATTTCGTAGAGATGAGGGTCTCCCCATGTTGCCCAGGCTGGTCTTGAACTCTTGGGCTCAAGCAGTCATCTTCCTCTGTTGCCCAGGCTGGTCTCAAACTCTTGGGCTCAAGCAATTCTCCCGTCTCGGTGTCCCAAAGTGCTGGGATTATAGGCATGAACCACTGTGCCCAGCTGGTTTTGTGCATTTTTTTAAACCTAAATTTATGTGTTGGAGAGCTCACCATGTCAATACATGTAGACTTATCTCTTCCTTTTAAAATACAACATAATATTCCATAATATAGACATTTTAATTTAAAACTATTTCCCACTTGAGGGACATTTAAGTGGGTTCCAATTTTTCTTCATTATTATTCTGTATTAACTATTTTATCATAACACTTATTACTGCCTAACTTTATCTGATTTAATCTTTTGTTTGTTGGATTGTTCATTTGTTTACTGTTCTGTTTCCTTCCATTAGAACTTCAACTTCTTCCAAGCAAAACCTTTTTCTGTCCTGTTCCTGCTGTGCTTAAAATTGTGTCTGGCACATAGTAGGCACTCAATAAATGTTCACTGACTAAATTAATCAATGAAAGAACCTTTGTAAAAGGCTCTTTGGCCACACATGCTACTGTTTCTTCAGATTAGGTACTAGAAGTGGAAGACCTGAGTCAAAGTTTGCAGGCATTTAAAATTTTCATAGATTCTGTCAAATTGACCTGCAGTCTGACCAGTTTATACTTCCACAAGTAACAAGAGAATCCACCTCCTCATACTCTTGCCAACATACGTTATTAACTAGTTTAACTTTTAATCCAATTTATGAGCTTAAAACATTGTATCTTGGTGGGCACAGTGGCTAGCACCTGTAGTCCCAGCTCCTCAGGATGCTGAGGCGGGAGAATTGCTTGAGCCCAGAAGTTCAAGGCTATAGGAGTTATGATGGTACCACTGCATTCCAGCGTGGGTGACACAGTGAGGTCCCATCTCTTAAAAAAAAAAAAAAAACAGTATGTGGCCAGGCGCGGTGGCTCACGCCTGTAATCCAAACACTTTGGGAAGCTGAGGCGGGCGGATCACCAGAGGCCAGGAGTTTGAGACCAGCCTGACCAACATGGTGAGACCCCCGTCTCTACTAAAAATGCAAAAATTAGCTGGGCGCGGTGGCGCGCGCCTGCAGTCCCAGCTATTCGGGAGGCTGAAGCAGAAGAATCGCTTGAACCCAGGAGGCGGAGGTTGCAGTGAGCTGAGACCGTGCCACTTGTACTCCAGCCTGGTGACAGAGCAAGACTCTGTCCCCGTCCCACCCCCCAAAAAATCTTATTGTTGTTTTAATTTGTACTTCTTTGATTACTACTGCAATTGATGCTGTTTTGTTTCTTTGCGAGTTGGAAATCCTTTTCTGTTAATTATTTGTTGGTGCATTTTGTCCTTTTCCCCCCTACTCAGTTACTTGTATTTTTCTTACTAATTTATGGGAGATTTTAATGTTTTTTGGAAAAAACATTTGTCAAATATCTGGCCAATATTTCCTCCTAACCTGTTGCTTTTGACTTAATTTTGTTTATGGTATCTTTTCAGTCTGTATTATCTAAATTATATTTTAATGAGTCAAATTTATTGGGTTTTGTTTCCAGTTTAAATCTTGTTTAATATTTATTGACTCACATCTGGTGAATAGTGAGAAATGTAGCAACCAGAAAGGATATCTTTTCAAATTGATTTTTTTTTTTTTTTTTTTTTTTTTGAGACGGAGTCTCGCTCTGTCGCCCAGGCTGGAGTACAGTGGCCCGATCTCAGCTCACTGCAAACTCTACCACCCGGCTTCACGCCATTCTCCTGCCTCAGCCTCCCAAGTAGCTGGGACTACAGGCACCCACCACCACGCCCAGCTAATTTTTTGTATTTTTAGTAGAGACGGGGTTTCACCGTGTTAGCTAGGATGGTCTCGATCTCCTGACCTCGTGATCCGCCCGCCTCGACCTCCCAAAGTGCTGGGATTACAGGCATGAGCCACTGCACCCGGCCACTATTTTTCTTTTAATTCTAGTAGAATATGGCTTTCTTCATATGCTAAATAAGGGATTTTTTCCTATGTACAAAATGTAACAACGTTTTTAAACTTATTTGGCATTATTTTTCATTTCTTTCTGTTGTTCACAGGTAGACTTACAAAGGATGAAATTGATCTCTACTACTAAGTGGATCCATCTTCAAGAGAGGGCGTTCAGAACACCCGGAAAGATAAGAAAGGTGAAGGCACCAAACGGCCCTTTGGAGGGCAGACTCCCATTCTGGGTGGAGGGTCTGATTCCCACCAATGATCTGGAATCTCTCAATTATATTTGCTTGGGAGAATAAGGAGTTAAAACAGGTTAGGTCTTGGACTAGGTCTATAGCATTTTTACATGCAGTGTTTTTGTTTCTTAGTCTAAATTTATTTATTGACAGGGTTTCAGTCCTGTTGTCTAGGCTGGAGTGCAGTGGCACAACCACCGCTCACTGCAGCCCCAACTTCCCAGGCACAGGTGATTCTCCCACCTACCTCAGCCTCCCGAGTAGCTGGGACTGCACCATGCCCTGCTAATTTTTTGTAGAAACAGGGTTTTGCCATGTTACTCAGGCTTGTCTCGAACTCCTGGACTGAAGCAATCCACCTGCCTTGGCCTCTCAAGTGCTGGGATTACAGGCATCAGCCACTGTGCCTGGCTTTGTCTAAATTTATAAACCCATAAATTGAATCTCATTTTTCTCACAATAACACCATCCCAATCTACGTCATCCTAATCTACATTAGTGCTTGGTACTAAGTATTTGTCTACAACCCCTCCTTTTCCCATTCCTCCACTTCCTTCTCTTTTATATTATTATTATTATTATTTCTGGATAACCAGTAGCCCTTTTGAGAAAAGCCTGATGCTCAAGGTCAGTGGTTCTCAGCTGGGGTATGCACATCAGAATCGCTTGGGCAGCTTGAAAAAAAATACACTCCTGGGCTCTACCCTAGATTTGAGGAATCAGAATCATAGGGGGAAGGATCAGGAATTCTGAAATGTTTAAAATCTTCCCAGGTGATCCTGATGTGCAGAGTTGAGAATACCTCAGGTATTTTAACACACGGCTTTATCTTTGAAGAACAGAAGAGACCCCATGGGGATACAGTCAGCCAATGTGACTAATTCTACAGGACAAATGACCCAGTTTCCTCAAAAATAAGTGCCATGAAATATATGGAGCAGGGAGGTGGAAACTGTCATAAATCAAAAGACTTGAGATGTGTCAACCAAGTGAAACGTGTAAACCTTATTTGGGTCCCAATCTGAACAGACCGAAAATGGGCATTTTTGAGACACTTAGGGAAAACAGAACACAGATTATTTAATACGAGGGAATTATTTTTGTTGGATATGATATTGGCACAGTGATTGAAAAACAAATTCCTTATCTGTTAGAGCAAAATACTGATGAATTTATGGGTGAAATAATGTATCTGAAATTTACTGGGCTTGGTGGCTCAGGCCTGTAATCCCAGAACTTTGGGAGGCTGAGGTAGGTGGATCACCTGAGGTCAGGAGTTCAAGGCCAGGCTGGCCAACATGGTGAAACCCCGTCTCTACTAAAAATACAAAAATTAGCTGGGCGTGGTGGCAGGTGCCTGTAGTCCCAGCTACTTGGGAGGCTGAGGCAGGAGAATCCTTGAACCTGGGAGGCGGAGGTTGCAGTGAGCCGAGATCGTGCCACTGCGCTCCAGCCAGGCAACAGAGCGAGACTCCGTCTCAAAAAAAAAAAAAAGAAAAAAAGAAAAAAAAAATTAGTCGGGTGTGGCGACGCTCACCTGTAGTCCCAGCTACTTGGGAGGCTGAGGCAGGAGAATCACTTGAACCCGGGATGCAGACTTTGCAGTGAGCCGAGATCGCGCCACTGCACTCCAGCTTGGGTGACAGCGATACTCGATCTCAAAACAAAACAATACATATATAGAGAGAGAGTGAAAAAAAAATCTTATGGAAAACAAACAAAAAAAGAAACAACCATGTGGGAGGAAATGATGAAGTAAGAACACAGTGTTGATAATTGTGAAAACTGGGATGACAGGTATGAGGAGGTTCTTAGTACTATTTACTTTTGTGTATGTTTGAACATTTCAACAATAAAAACATTTTAAAACAATGACATCATCCATAGACCTGAACTCCTCCCAAGTCTAGTTTTCCTGATCCAGACTCCCCCAGGCCTTGTCAGCCCTTCCTTTTGGTGGGTTCTTAGTTCCTTCGGGGCGTACCTGATTGGATCAAGAAACTTTATACAAACTTTTCCTCCTTGCCTGCTTCTTGCCCCTGGGAGTGCAGTGGAAAACTAGAGCCAGAGAGGCAGTTTGCTGCGGATGCTTCACATCCTCTGTAATATAGTGACACTGGCTGTTGGTACCAGAGCGGGGCGACTTACCCACCTGCAAACCTAGCCCAGACCTCCCCTCCATCCGCTCCGCCAGTGGTGCAGCACGTGAGCGCTCGGTTGGAACATCAGGAGTGTGAATTCCAAGAGCAGCTGTGGAACTGAGCCTTGTAAAAATTCCTTGTAGGGGAGAGGGGAGTGTGGTGTCATCAAAGCAAGCAGGTGAAACAAAAAGACAGGGTGTTCTCTTACTGAAATACATCAGGGAGGCGGGGTGTGGTGGCTCCCGCCTATAATCCCAGCACCTTGGGAGGCCGAGGCGGGCAGATCACTTGAGTCCAGGAGTTTGGGACTAACCTGGACCACATGGCAAAACCCTGTCTCTACAAAATAATACAAAAATGAGCCTGGTATCATCGCTCCTGCCTGTAGTCCCAGCTACTCAGGAGTTTGGGGTGGGAGGATCGCTTGAGTCCAGGAGGTCGAGGCTGCAGTGAGCTGTGATGGACCCACTACCCTCCAGCCTGGATGACTGAGGGAGACCTTGTCTCAGAAAAAAAAAAAGAAAGAAAGAAAGAAAGAAAAGAACAGAACAGAAAAGAAATCATCAGCGAGAAGAGCAAGAATCATTCTAATCTGGCCTGAGTGAAAAAGGAGCCCCAAGGTAGCTAGGAACTGGTTTCTCTCTATTTTGTCTTAAAAAGTTATTGCTTTCCAAACTTGGTTTTCTTGACTTTTAAATTAAGGGTTGACTCTATGTGTGTATGTTTAATAAAGAGGATGAGAGGAAAGGGATAATACATAATCGTATGCTATGTAACTATAATTTTATATTTTTCTAAGTTATTTTATATTCTGTATTTATACTTTACATTCTATCTTATAGAAATATAATTTTATAGTAACACATGCTCTAACTGCAGTCGGACTGTCCCAGCGTTGTGACAAAAGTCCCACTGGTGGCAGCTTTCCCTACATCCAGGCCAGATGCCTCAGTAGACATCAGCAGCCTCTTGAACTCCAATCTCTCAAGTCCAATTCCATTAAGTGCTGTCAACAGAGAATGCACAGGGGCAAAACCCTCTCTCTGGACTCTCTCACCTGGCCTCTTGGCTTTTCCTGGATTTGCCAACCCGTTCCCACACCCCAGCTTTCTGATTCATGCTCCTTCTACCTTCACTCCTCTAAAGACACTCACCTCATTGTCATCTCTCTTCTTCTTCTTCTTTTTTTTTTTTTTTTTTTTTTTTTTTTTTTTTTTTTGAGACAGAGTTTCACTCTTGTCGCCCAGGCTGGAGTGCAGTGGCGTGATTTCAGCTCACTGCAATCTCCGCCTCCCAGGTTCAAGCAATTCTCCTGTCTCAGCCTCCTGAGTAGCTGGAATTACAGGTGCCCGCCACCACGCCCAGCTAATTTTTGTATTTTTGGTAGAGACAGGGTTTCACCATGTTGGCTAGGCTGGTGTCGAACTCCTGACCTCGTGATCCACCCGCCTAGGCCTCCCAAAGTGCTGGGATTACAGACGTGAGCCACTACATCCGGTCTCACCCCTCTTCTAAGCTCAAATTCCTCTTCCTTCTGATTCTGCTCAAAAGAATGTAGAAAGTGGAGTGGTGAGATAGGCAGAAGCTTGAACCCACATGCTGCTTGCTTTCTGGGTTGGAGACACCCCACTGTTCACTCAGCCATCCTCCTTTTCTATTTTTCCTTCCTGCTGAACAGAGAGTGGCTGCTGGCCTCTTTCCCTGTGCGTTCTCCACCTAATCTTTGGACCAACGGCAATTTTGTGCTCTTATTAAATGAAGGAGCATGCATGGAAAACCACTTCTGGGTGGCCCACAATGGGGACAAGAGGAACACCACGTTGCTTGTGTCAAATCAAGGATTGTGCCAAGGGCGTTTCTCTGCACCACCTGAAGTGCCCTCTTGGAGTTGTCTTGCCAGGTTTAGCCTTGACCTCCCAGGAAAAGACAAATGGCAGTGAGTACCTTCATAGTTGAGTGGTATGGAAGGCAATGGTGTTGCTTATGCAACACAATTCTGGGATTGCATTCCAGCTTCCCCACATAGTGGTTGTGGGACCTCGGCCAAGGGATTTAGCCTCTCTGAGCCTCAGTTCTTTTATCTTTAAAGTGGGCAGAGTAACAGAACCAAAGGAAATAACATGTCTTCCTTGCCAAGCATGGTTCAGTGCATAGCAATTGTTCAGCAGTATAACTATTTTATAAACGATTCTATTTGATCTTTATTAAACTTCTCTACCTCCTGATTTTGTGGTTGAAGAGAAACTGGGTTTTAAGAAATTATAGTCCGGGCGCAGTGGCTCATGCCTGTAATCCCAGCACTTTGGGAGGCTGAGGTGGGTGGATGACCTGAGGTCAGGAGTTCAAGACCAGCCTGGCCAACATGGTGAAACCTTGTCTCTACTGAAAATACAAAAATTAGCCAGTCGTGGTGGTGATGGTTGCCTGTAATCTCCGCTACTCTGGAGCCTGAGGTAGGAGAATCATTTGAGCCTGGGAGGCGGACGTTGCAGTGAGCCGAGATTGTGCCACTGCACTCCAGCCTGGGCAATAGTGTGAGACTCTGTCTCAAAAGAAAGAAAAGAAATCAGAAGCATGAATAGCAGGGCCCCTGGTCATTCAGGACAGAGCCAGGCAGGAGTTAGGGTTCCAACTCCCAGGCCAAGGCTCATCCTAATCCTCCAACAAGAGACCCTTTTAGCACTCTGGCCAGTGGGTTTACTTAGGAGACCGGAGAATGCCCCAGGTTGGGGAATCAGGAGCTGGTGGTCTCAGGTCAGACAATCCAGAAAGAGTCAGTCTGGTCTGCACACACCAGAATCACCTGGGATACGTGTTATATCCTTGCCTGAGATCACGACATAAGAATTTCTGGACTGGGCTCAGACACCAGTCTTACTGAAAAGCTCCCTTGTGTTTCTCCTGTGTAGTGGGGGTTGAGTCCCCCTGTGCTAGAGGGACAGGGAGTGCAATGCTGGAAGAACCATTCCTGTTATGTGGAGTGAATTAGAAGACAGCGGTCACCAAAGCCGTATGTTGCCCAGAGTGTGGTTTCTCTGAGGATGGTTTCAGGACATCATGGGAGAGGCTGGTGGCCTACCTTGCCTGGGACGTCGGAGGTGCAGCTGCTCCTGCGAGCATCCCCAAGCTTGCCCCTACCACTCGAGAACTACTCTAAACCCTGTCCAATTGGTTTATATTTGAGGCTTGCACCGCCGCCCTGGTGGGTCAACAGTGTCACCTCTGATGAGTAAGTTTGGCGCTCAGGGGAGGGTCTGGGCTGGAGGTGTAAGCCTGGGAAATCCTGACTGCCTCAGGCTAGAAATAGAAAGTAAATTCCTGACAGTGTGTGGGAGATGGCCCAGGGGCTCAGAGGAGAGTTTCTGGTGGGGTTTCTGGGGATCAACAATATTTATCTGAGTCTGTTAACATCTCAGGGGCTGGATTCCTGTGTTGCCATTTTTGCTACCTTCAGGCCAGGTGTGACTGCACCCTGGGAAGGCTGGAGAGAGCATCTCTTGCTTGGTTGGGGCAGCTGGGAAGGGTGAGCCTCTAACCATTGGCAAGGAAAGGTTCTGGGAGCTGGGGGATGTTGTCTGTGGTGACTCCACACTTCTTGGAGTCTTGCTCAGCCTCAGGGGCTGGTCTGCACCTGGGCAGCTCACCTGGGCTGAAGGGGTGCAGGAAAGAGCGGGGGCGTTGGCGAGGGGAGAAAGAAGGAGAGTCAGCAGCAGAGGCCCCTCTGGGGGTGGTGAGGAGGGGAAAGACTTCAGGGACCTGCCAGGGAGGAAGGCAAAGGTGGGGGAGGAGCGGAAGGGCTGCGGATCAAGGCAGGGACAGGAGGGCCTGCGTGTCTCTACCCCCACATTCCTTCTGGGATTTTTTTTCGTTCCCTTGGTTATAGAAGAATAGCAATTAGCAAATTCAGTAAAAAGGGCCAGAAATGGAGATTGTTTGTGAATTGGGGGCCAAGATGCATGAGTGAAGGAATGTGACCAGAACTATATATAACCCCTCCCTTGGCCCACCCACCTGTCCAGCGGAGTGAGCGATGGTCTGTTTGTTCTGGGCTGGTATGTAGCTCATTTCACTCTAGGAGCCCACCATCTGGACCTGGGCCTCGCTGCCAGTAGCTCTCGGTGACCATATATGGCAAAATGATATATGTGATAAAAAGAAGTCAAATTCCCCAATTGCGTCAGCCCCTGGAGCATGCAGCCTGCCTGGCTCGAGCCCCTTCCAGCCTCTCTCCCAGCCTTCTGCCCCGCAACTTTGCTCCGGAAACCAAAGGGGCTCAGAGATTGACTGGGGGAGCAGGGAGCTGGGGGCGGGGCTGCCATCCCTTCACCCGTTCACCCCAACGTTTGTTTGGGGTGGGGAGGATAATTAGCGAGGGCCTGAGCTGCCAATGTATTTGCCTCTGGCCTTAAACCAGGAAGATTAGAAACTAAGTGATAACTCACATTCTTTCCAGAAAGCAGCCTAGTGTGGCGCCAGTATGTATGTGGGTAGGAGGTGGGGGGCATAGTCCCACTGGGGTTCTGTCCACCCCCAATCCCAAAGATCACATGGCCCCCAACATCCCTTAAATTCCCTTGAACCTTAACCTGCCAGGAAAAATGTTCAGTCCACATAGCTTATCTGGGGGAACAAAATAGAATAAAATTTACACACACACACACACACACACACACACACACAATTTTTCTCTCCCCAAACTTTCTTTCTTCCTTTCTTCTGCTCTGCCTTGTCCCCAGCATCCACACCTGATGCATGGCTGCGTGCACCACCCTGCAAGGGAGCTCCCACTCTGGGCCAGACATTGTGCAGGAGGCCAGAGGAAGGTGACAGTATAGAGCAGATCCTGGCTCTCACGCAGCGTGTCCTGGATGAGGCAATGGACTGCTGCCATACGGGGCATCCAGCCAGACACAAGGGCTCAAGGAAGCTTCTGGGAGGAGGCGACACTTGAGCTGAATCTTAAAGAACAAGCAGTAGTTAGCCTAATGATGGATGGGGATTAGAACCGGAAACCCCGGGCTGAGGAGAGAAAGCGGGGGAGAGAGACCAGATGGGGCTGAGTGCCTCCAGGTGTGGAGAGACGTGAGGCTGGAGGTAAACAGGGGCCAGAGCATGGAGCCTTTTTCTAGGAGATGTTAAAGGGACTGGGTCTCTGTCACCATCTCCCACTCCCAGCTCCCAGCCTTCTATCTCACAGCTCAGTCCACCACCGCGGAGCATGGGTCAGGTCAGGCACGTGTGCACGCGCGCGCGCGCGCACACACACACACGAATATGCCCGGAAATGTATACTCAATGCCACATCACATAAGCAAGGACATTTAGCAAAAGGGAAGAAAAGAAGAAAAATGATGTTCAAATGAGAACCAGGGAGAGACGGCAGGCCTGGGGGAGGGCACTCAGCCAGGAAGGGGAGAGGAGGAGTGGAAGTGGGAAGTGCGTGGGCGGGAGAGCCAGGAGGCTGTTGATGGAAAGGGAGCTGGAGAATGCTCTGGGCTCTCCGCAAGGGGAAGACACAGACAGCAGCGGAGACAGCTGGTCAGCAGAGGTGGTGGGAGTGGGGGGCGAAGCACAGAGTCTAGAGCCCAGCCTCCCCCATCCAAGGCTCAGCTCGGATGTGTGTCCCCTCACGCCTCGCCCGCGGGAACTGTGGCTCCTCCTTTAGCTGACCACAGTGGTGGGCATTGGCTGCAGGAGGTCCCTGAGAAAGCCCTCCAGTGTGGTCCAGGAGGGAGATAGGGCCTGGGGATCTGTCTGATGCTCCGCTTTAGTGTGGATACATTGATCAGATGTGTTCCCTGGCATCCTGGAGGGTTCGAAAGCCTGTTCTGAAGGGTGAGTGTCCTTCATGGCACATGCCTCAGAGACCTGTGTTCCCTGTGCATTCAGAGGGGAGGATCATATTTTAGGACTCAGCCGAGGCTTTGCTTCCACCTCCTTGGCTCCTCAGGGCTAGGCCAGGGACGTGCCTGTGTATTCGTTTGGAAATCCCAATGCAATGCAGTGGGACATGCTTAGGGCAAGTGAAGGGCAGGTGCACTGTCTTTTATGACCCACCCTTGGCAGCCGCACAGTCACTTCCGTTGTATTCTGTTCAGAGCTACTGTGATACCATCAGGGAGGAGACTATGCAAGGGCACCAGTTCCAGGAGGTGAGGGTCTTTAAGGCCATCTTGGAGATTGGCCACTGCAGTCACTAAATTTTGGGGTAATTTGTCATGCAGCCATAGATGACTAATACAGGCAGAGATGTCCTTGATGGGGTGCTTGGCCCAGGGTGGCAGGCAGGTAAGGTGGGGCAGGACTTGACTCTGGGTCTCTTAGATAAGATTCTTTTCACTACAAGAGATTTAAACTTCTATTTTATTTATTTTATTATTTATTTATTTATTTATTTATTTATTTATTTATTGAGAAGAAGTTTTGCTCTTGTTGCCCAGGCTGGAGTGCAGTGGCGCGATCTTGGCTCACTGCAACCTCTGCCTCCTGGGTTCAAGTGATTCTCCTGCTTCAGCCTCCCGAGTAGCTGGGATTACAGGTGTCTGCCCTCACGCCCAGCTAATTTTTTTATTTTTAGTAGAGACAGAGTTTCACCATGTTGGCCAGGCTGGTCTTGGACTCCTGACCTCTGGTGATCGTCCCACCTTGGTCTCCCAAAGTGCTGGGATTACAGGTGTGAGCCACCATGCCTGGCCAAAAAAATTCATTTTAAACTGAAGTATAGAAAGAAATGTATGGGCCCACATAACAGAAAAGACCAGAATCAGTGCTGGTTTTGAGTAGCTGAAACTAAGATGTTAGAGAAAGTATGTGACTCGTAGTCAAATGGGACACATGGAGCACATAGGAGTGTTTGGAGGAGAGGTCAGCAGCAGCTAGAGTGATGGGCAGTGGAGATTCCTTTGTGTATGTGCTCAATTTCTACACCAAAAAAGAAAAGAACAGCAACAGCAAACAAACAGTGGAGATGCTTCTATGTGTGTGTGTGGGGGGGGTCAATTTGTTGGTTTCTTTCGCTTTCTTTGTATAGGATTCAGCACAGGCACGTGCCTATCTCAGCACCTTCACAGCAGAGAGCGAATCTCTGCATCCAGTTACCCCAGAGACACATCTGGACACCTCCCCGCAACAAAGCCCCCAAGACCTTCCAGAAGAGGAGCTGTGTCCAAGAGCCCCCTTCCTGTTATGGGAAGTGCACTATCTTCTGACCCTCATATCTGTTGCCTCTATTTGTTGCTCTCTCATAAACCAATCCAAATGGAGGGCATCTGTATTGCCAAAGGGATTGGTCACTCAGCTTCGTCGGATGCAAGAAAAGATTCTGAGGGTAGGGACGGGCATCGGTCTTGCTGACTGCCCTCTCTGCAGCTGTCAGGACTGGGCTTAGCATGTAGTAGGTGGCCCATAAATATTTGTTGAATGAACACATATCGTCGGGAAAAAGGAGGTTGTTGTAAGGACACGCAGAAGAACCAGAACTGGAACTGGAAGTCAGAGCGGAAGTGGCCCCAGGGACCAGTGAGTCTCAGCCTGTCTCTCAGGGGCTGTGTCTTTTCTCACTACGCACCTGCTAAGATGTGGCACTTGCCATGGCCTCCCCATTCCACCTCATGGCATTCTTCACTGTCAACTTTCAGCCTCCAGCTTCCAGGAGCCTTATACTATGGGTGACTCGCTTCTCTTCTATATTTAACCGCTTCCTCCAAACCAGACCCTTCCCATCAACATTTAAACATTTCAGGTCTCTCCCACTGAAAGAACAAACCAACCAACCCTCTCCAACACAAGACCTTCTCCAGTTACTGCCTTCCTTCCCTTCACGACCAGCTTCTGGAAAGGTTTTTCCACATTCCCCATTTTCGTCTCTTCCCCTCACTCAGTTCTTGCTCATTCCATTCTGGGTTCCTCTCCATCACTCCATTGACGTAAGTCTTGCTGCGGTGCCAGTGACATCCTAGTTGTTCCAGTCCTCACCTTGCATGACCCACAATCACACTAGACACAGATGGTCAAGTTTCTCATTGAACTCACCAGATGTTTCGCCTCTTTCTCTCTGTTGCCCCGTTTCAGCCTCCTTCGCCAGCTCAGGTCCACTGCCAGGCTGGTGGGGTTCCTCAAGCGCTGGCCCAGGGCCCCCTTGCTGTCCACGCTGTACTTTCTCAGTGGGCAGTTGTCTGTGTTCCTTTCTTTCTTTCTGAGACAGGGTCTCACTCTGTCACTCAGGCTGGAGTGCAGTGGTGCAATCTCAGCTCACTGCAGCCTCCGCCTCCCAGGCTCAAGCGATCCTCCCACCTCAGTCTCCTGAGTAGCTGGGACAACAGGTGCATGCCACCACACCGGGCTACTTTTTGTATTTTTTGTAGAGACAGGGTTTCACCATGTGCCTGGGCTGTGTGTTAGTTATTTAGGCTCTTCTGTTACTATATATACATTTGTGACCCTTGTGATAACAGCTCTTCCTTCTCCTCTGCTTCCAAGAACATGTTAGGACTTCCTCACCTCCTTGGGACATGGTTATGAAGATGAGAGTAAATGACACGTCACTTCCGGACAGAATCTTTCAGAGTCAACTTGCAATTCACGATGTCCCTGTCTCTGCCTTAATCATAGTGGAAGCACCTGCTGAGATGGAAGTTTCCTCAGCCTGGTCTCTGAGGGTCTATGATGAGCAGTCTTCCCTAGTATCCGCTTTGGAGAAATAGATCTTAACTGAATTAAGATACTGAGGTTTGGCATTATTTATTTATGTATCTATTTATTTACTTGTAACATCTTTGTTAGATTTTGGTATCTGGTTATTGCTAGCCTCCTCAAACAAACTGAGAAGAGTTCTTTCCTGCTCTATTTTCTGAAAGAATTTGCTTAAGATTTGTGTAACTTCTTTCTCAAATGTTTGATAGAATTCACCAGGGAAACTATCTGGGCTAGGAGCTTCCTTCCTCTTTCTTTCTTCTTTGTCTCTCTTTCTGTCTTTTCTTTCTTTTCAAAAGCTCTACTTATATAGCATTGACATTTAAAAATTGTACATATTTAAGCTGTACAACTTGATTTAACTCTAAACAATAGTTTTATTTAAATAATATTTTTTATTATACTTTAAGTTCTGGGATATATGTGCAGAATGTGCAGGTTTGTTACATAGGTATACATAGGTTTGTTACATATGTGCCATGGAGGTTTGCTGCACCCATCAACCTGTCATCTACATTAGGTATTTCTCCTCATGCTATCACTCCCCTAGCCCCCCATCCCCCAACTTGATGTTTTGATATAGATTGTGAAATGATCACAACACAGCCAATTAAATATCTACCTCTTCTACATAGTTACCCTTTGTGTGTACGTTGAAAAGATTTACGATCTATCATCTTCTGAAGTTTTCTTTGTGGGAAATGTTCTGATAATGAATTCAATTTCTTTAATAGATGGAACTATTTAGATTTTGGATTTCATTTTGTAATCTTATCAAGCCATTTTGCCCGTCTCAGTTGCCAAATTTATTGGCATAAAGTTGTTCATAATATTTTCTTATTACCTTTTAATGCCTGTGGGCTCTGTGGTGATATTGATGCAGGATTTTTTTCGGCCCCTTTGCCGAACTTGTGGCAGGGGCGCCCCATCTATTTGGCTCACTGCGCTCAGCCCCTTGAGGGAGGGAGCATGTGAGAGAGTGAGTGCAGGATCTGGCTCGCTGCAGGATCTGGCTTGCCACAGGAGCAAGCTCTGTTTGGGGGGCCTGTGGCCAGACCAGGTGTGTCACCTTGAGGGGAACAGTGACACCCAGGTGAGGTTGCCCATGACCCCGAGGCCCCAAAGGGGGTGTGTTATAGTAGTCTTTTAGTTCCACTGTCCATGGTCTGATGGACAGTGGTGTGTTAGCAGCTTAGTTGGCCCCTTGCCTCGTCATGTGGGGTAGCTGCCCTCCGCTGCTGAGGGCAAAGGGCCATTGTGACAGCCTTTTCTGGGTACCTGCACTTGGTGGGTCCTGAGGTCTTATCCAGCATCCAGGAAGAAACTCTTCCATCACCTGCATGACCTCATTCTGCCTGGATGCTGGACAAGAGCTTGGGACCCAATGAGTGGGTGAAGACAGAGCATTTTATTGAGTGACGGAAACAGCTCTCAGTGGAGAGGGGAGCTGGAGAGGGGATGGGAAGGGAAGGTTGTCTTCCCCAAAGTCAGGTTGTCTCTTCCTCGAAGTCAGGCCATCTCCCCTTCTACTGACTGAGTCTTTATAGGCACAGGATGGGGAGTGTGTGCTGATTGGTTTGTGAGTATGCAAAGAAGGTTAAAATTAAGAGATCACTCAAAGGTGGGCATGACAGTGTAGAAAACCAATTAGGAAAGGGTAGGTATATGTAAAATAGGTGAAAGGTGGGGATCAATCAGAGGAAGGCACACCAAACAGGAGGACAAATTCTTAATCCAGTCCAAGGATTTAACTTGTAGTTTGGCTTTCAGGCTTTAAACTGTCTTTGGTTTGGAGGTGGGGCTTCACCAGGGACCTGCTCCTGTCTGCCGAGGCATTTGACTGCCTCCTGTTACTATCAATATCTCCTTTCATTCCCTAAATTTATAATTTGCATGCTGTCTCTTTAATCAACCTAGCCAGCTAGGAGTTTATAAATTTCGTTGATATTTTCAATGAACCAGCTTTTGGCTTTGTTAATTTTCTCTTCTTATATGTTTTCTGCTTCACAAATATTGACTGTTTTTTTATTATTTTTTCCTTTCTTCTACTTAAAGTTTACTTTGCTCTTTTTTATCCTAGCTTTTTGAAGTGGAACCTTAGATCCTTACTTTTACATCTTTCTTCTTTCCTAATAAAGCTAAATATTTTCCTTTAAGCACTCCTTTAGTTGTAAATCACAAATTTTGATAGATTATACTTTTATTTATTGTTCAGTGCAAAATAATTTTTAATTACTCATTTTCTTTGTGACTTATTCTTCTACCCATGGGTTATCTGGAAGTGTGTATTTAATTTCCAAATATTTGGGTTGTGCCAGATATCTTACTGTAATTGACTTCTAATTTCAATAAATTAAGATTTATCGAAGGTTTCAATAGTTTGAAATGTATTGAGACTCGTTTTATGGCCCAACTCGTTTTATGGTCTATCTTGGAGAATGTACAATGTGTACTTGGAGTGTTCTACAAATGTCAGTTAGGTCAAGTGGTTGACAGCATTGTTCAGATCTTCTTTTTCTTTCTTGTGATTTTTCTTTCTTAACCATTATATATATTAGCCAACCCTGACTAATACAGTCCTAAAATCTGCATCTCTGGCCTTGAGTCTCTGAGCTCTAGGCCCATATCTGACTGTATACAATACATCTTTACTTGTATATTTCAAAGACACTTCAAATTAACTATTGAAGAGAATGAACTCATGATCTTTCCCCAGAAAACTGGTGCTTTTCCAAGGTTCTTCATCTCAGTGGATGGCACCTCTGCTATCCATCCAGTTTCCCCAACCAGGAACCTAAAGTCATCCCTCAGACCTTTTTCTTTTTTTGAGACAGAGTCTCACTCTGTCGCCCAGGCTGGAGTGCAGTGGCACGATCTTGGCTCACTGCAACCTCCACCTCCCGGGTTCAAGTGATTCTCCTGCCTCAGCCTCCTGAGTAGCTGAGATTACAGGTGTGTGCCACTAAGCCCAGCTAATTTTTGTATTTTTAGTAGAGATGGGGTTTCACCATGTTGGCCAGGCTGGTCTCAAAGACCTCAAGTGATCCACCTACCTCAGCTTCCCAAAGTGCTGGGATTACAGGTGTGAGCCACTGCACCCAGCCCCTCAGGCCTTTTTCTGTCTTGCTGTCTCCACATCCAATCTAACTCCAATCCCAGCTTTTCCTCCTCAATATAGTTCACATCCATCCACTTACCTCCATCTGTGCTGCCACCGCCCTTGTGCAAGCCATCATTCCTCCCTTAGATAACGGCAGTACCTCCTTGCTCTTCTCTCCACTTCATTCTCCACACAACAGCCAGGGTAAAGCTGCAAAAGCCCCAGTCTTATCATTTACCCCTTGCACACTTGACCACTTAAAATCATTCACGAGCATCTCATTGCTCTGCAGATAATGACCCAAATCTTTCCCATGGCCCACGAGACCCTGTGTGCTCTGGCCCTGCTCCCCGCCCCCATCTCCAGTCTCCCCTCACTCACTACACTTCTGCCACATTCACCCCCTTCTACCACAGGGTCTTTGCACATGCTGTTGGTCCCAAATGAAATGTTCCTCCCCCACCTGCACCCAATTTTGTCCAACTATCCTCTTCCTTGGTTGAGGTCCACTTTTTTTTTTGAGATGGAGTTTTGCTCTTGTTGCCTGGGCTGGAGTGCAGTGGCGTGACCTCGGCTCACTGCCACCCCCACTTCCCAGGTTCAAGTGATTCTCCTGCCTAAGCCTCCCAAGTAGCTGGGATTACAGGCGTCTGCCACCATGCCTGGCTACTTTTTGTATTTTTAGTAGAAATGGGGTTTCACCATGTTGGCCAGGCTGGTCTTGAACTCCTGACTCAGTTGATCCATCTGCCTCGGCCTCCCAAAGTGCTGGGATTACAGGTGTGAGCCACTGCACCCGGCCCACTTGTCTTTCTGATCCCAGCTCTGTTTCACTTCCCAGGGAGCACCTCCTCTAACCTCTGTGTCAGTTTGGGTCCTTTGAGAAGCAGATATCAAAGTGGGATTAGATATGCAGGAGATTTACCTGGGGTTAATGATGTAAAGGATGAAGAGCTGACCTGCTGGTAATATCCCTTCTGTGTTTGGTCATTGGCCCAGAGCTACCTGGGGAGGGAGAAGTGTTGGTGTCACGCTGGGGGAGATTTGAAGGTGTAGCAGTTGGAAGCTGTCAGCCAACCACATGCCTCACAAAACCGTCTCTTCAAGGGACACATGCATAGCACCCCTCCACAGCCACACAACAGCTCCCTAAACCAGAGCGTGCTCCTTCGATACATATAGTCATAGGACAATGTTCCCTCTTTTCAGAGAACTGACCTGGGTTGCAATTATACCCCTCGTGAGCGTTATTTTTATTTGAGGTCTGTCTCTGCTTGAGAACAGGGACAATGGACTCACTGGCCATTGTGTCTCTTGCCCATGACAGTGTGTTCAATAAATGCTTGCAAGAAAAAAATGAAAGAATGAATCAGTGATTCATGACCAAGCCAGTCTCTCTGCATTCTCTAGTCCTAATTCACAAAATAGAACCTGATGGCCCAGCTCACCTTTTCCCCCCTCCGGCCATGGGACACCAAGGGGCTGATGCTGACCCTGTCCATCAGTTATGTGGGGGAGGGGAGTCATGTGGTACAAATCTGGGGTGCCACAGTGGATTTCTCTAGAATGAGTACCTTGGAACCGCCACGAAGTCTTTGTGTATTTTTTTTTTTTTTTTTTGGTAAAAGCATGGCACTCTTCACCTGACTTAATCTTCCAGAGACTGGAGTTGTGAGTAGTAGTGCAGACACCTGTGAGTCCTCATCCCCCCAGCATGAATTGTCCCCAGGGAACAGGTCCTTATGCCTGAGGCTTTAAATACACAAACACAGCAGCACCCCCTCTGCTTCCCCAGAAACCTACCCTCTGTTTCATTTTCTCTGAGATGTTTTAGCTGAGACTAAGGCAGCATCTCAGGACTGGAAACTTCCTGGAGCTTACTCACATAGAATGAAAATACAGCAGCGTTAGAAACAGGGCCATAGACTCAGACTAGACCTGAGTTCAAATCCCAGCCCCTTCACTTCCAAGCTCTAGGACTCTGGGCTGTTACTTAATCTCTCTGAGCCCCCTTTTCTCATCTCTAAAACGGAATTAGCAAAATAGCAAAACCAAACAGGCAGTTAAGAAGATGAAGCAAAATGTCTCTAGTAGCGGCTCAAAGTTCAGGGCACATTAGCCTATTAGCAGCTCTGAAAAATCCTGCAGTAAAGAAACCCAGCTTTCCCCAAGCCTATTTGGCAGCAGGTTTGTGAAGCACAACCACGCACGAGATTCTGGTGTTCTTTGGAAAGCACTGCTCTAGAGAATGTAGCTTTTCTCTTTAGATCACTGTGGACCTTCAAAACTACCACAAATAAGATCCAGATGGCTTTGGCCTCCTGAAAAACCATTCTGAATTGAGTTCGAGGGTGTTATATCTCTGGATTTCATTGAGGAATGCTGGAACTCTCCAACATGTTCATCACTGTGTGCTCTGCAGGGACGTTGTGGATGACATCGTGTGATGCTCCTCTCTTTAATGCTAACGGACACTTTCTCCAGTCAAAGCTGGTCATGGTCATAGCGGCATGGAATGTTTTAAGTGCACAGAAGGTTAGAGGCCAGCTTGTTTTACCTCTTCATTTTGCAGATGAGCAAACAGGTCCAGTTAGAAAATCAAGTGACTCATCCAGGGACAGACAGAACGAGGGGCAGAGCTCAGAACTCAGACCCAGCCAGCTGTTGTGCACTGAATGGACACCGCTGGGCTCTCAGGAAGATGACAGCTCCTTGGTTAGATGCAGAAACATGAAGGACCACCCGTTGGGGACTGGTAGGCCCCTTGGCCCTTGGCTCCTTCTTCCGACATGGCTATGAGGAGGGAGGTGAGGGGAAGGGCAGGATTATGGTGGAAGACCAGGGGTCTGTGGGTCTGAGTCCAGATGGCAGGCAGCTGGGCCGAGGCACACACCAACGACTACTTCCTCTTCTTTCTGGTGATTCCAAGGGTGAGAAGGCTGAGAAGGAACTTGCAACAGATGGAAGGGAGACCAGAAGGAATTTGGAATGGGCCCAAGGGGTCCAGCTCTTAGAAAATGAGGGTGAAATATTTTCTGCTTGGAGAGAACATTATTTACAAGAACAGAGCAGGAACAGGGTCCTGCCCGGGTAGACTGGTGGGCTCTGGCTTATGTTTCGTGGCTGTGACAGCTCATACCAATCTGTGTTTCTAAGACAACCAGCGAACCAAATAGGAACAACATTAATGGTGATAAGAGGTGGCTGTTGCAGGCTGGGCCAACCCAGACAAGTTGAGCTCAAAGATCAGAAGTTTTGAGGCCAATTCTAAATTTAGAGTCCAATTTTTGAGGAAGCCAAAATGAGCTCTCCTTGCATGAAGTGTGTCAGAAGAATAGAAGACACCATCCCCAAAGAGCAGCTAGTAGAGGGGGCTGGGGTCCTCCTTCCAGCTAGAGATGCTAATAATGAGATCGAACAGCTCCTTCTTCTTCTTTAAAAAATTCTTAGGGCCAGGCACGGTGGCTCATGCCTGTAATCCCAGCACTTTGGGAGGCTGAGGCGGGCGGATCACGAGGTCAGGAGATGGAGACCATCCTGGCTAACATGGTGAAACCCCATCTCTACTAAAAATACAAAAAATTAGCCAGGCGTGGTGGCGGGCGCCTGTAGTCCCAGCTACTCGGGAGGCTGAGGCAAGAGAATGGCGTGAACCTGGGAGGCGGAGCTTGCAGTGAGCCGAGATCGCGCCACTGCACTCCAGCCTGGGGGACACAGTGAGACTCTGTCTCAAAAAACAAAACAAAAAAACTTAAGTCTTTTCAAACTAAAAGCTTTGAAAGAACTGAATATCACATCTCTTCTCTCTTCCCTGCTGCCTTTAAAATGTGTTCTTATTTAGAAAGAACCCCAAAGCAACTCAGGGTGTATGTGGAAGGAGCAAAATTTAAACCCCTAGCTTCCCCTCCACACCCAGCCTCAATCTAACCCTGCATGGACTAGGCCTCACTCCCTTCTAAGTGGGCACTTCAGAGCAGGAAGGCTGCAGGTTATCTACCAGAGCAGACACTTCCTGTTAGCTCAAGCCAAATACTCTCCTCCTTGGCCAACTCGTGGGATTGGCAGCAACACTATGCTGATGCCAGTGTGCCCCAGAGATTAGCCACTTTTGTCCCCAAGTTTTATGGTACTCTACTATGAACACTCTCATTGTGCTTGAATGGACTAGGGGCTCAAAGGCTCTATTCCCATGTGGGCTCTAGCCTCCACTTATTTTTACCAACTGAGCTCTTACCATCTGCCTTTGCCATTTGCTCTAAGAGGTCTTGGAAGGTAAACCTCTCAGAGTAACAATTTCTTCATCTATAAAATACCATGTGTGGGCCGGGCACGATGGCTCACACCTGTAATCCCAGCACTTTGAGAGGCTAAGGTGGGCGGATCATGAGGTCAGGAGATCAAGACCATCCTGGCTAACACGGTGAAACCCCATCTCTGCTAAAAATACAAAAAAAAAAAAAAAAAAAAAAAAAAAATCAGCTGGGCGTGGTGGCGGGCGCCTGTAGTCCCAGCTACTTGGGAGGCTGAGGCAGGAGAATGGTGTGAACACGGGAGGCGGAGCTTGCAGTGAGTAGAGATCGTGCCACTGTACTCCAGGCTGGGTGATAGAGCTAGGCTCTGTCTCAAAACAAACAAAAAAAAACCACGTGTGTCAAATTCACCCATGTGATGTTTCCCGCATTTATATCCAGCCCCTATTTCCACAAATGCTACCTAGGTCAGGTCTTCATTGTGCCTATGGAGGTCTCCTCATTTATTGGGCTGCCTCCATTCGTCCACAATACATAGGGCTAATCTTCCTAAAGCATGATTTTGATCAAGTCACTCTCCTGCTCGAAGCCTTTTCATAGCTTCCCATTGCCTGCAGAGCCAATTCCAAATCACTTAGCCTGGTTTCAAAGTCATCCACCATCTGGCCTCAGCCTATCCTTTTTGTTCATTCTTGTCCACCTACTTCTTCCAGCTGTTACATAAACTGTCGCCTAAAGCTGCCTTCTTACATATTTTAAGTGCGGCCTAAAGGTTTCTCCATACATAGTGAATTGTAACCTAACTGGATGTGTAAATAAGTCTGTAATCTACTCTTCTACCAGTCACAGAATTCCAACCAATCACAGGCGGCCCACTGTTCAAGCCATAAAGATGGCAGACACTGAGCTGTAACCAACCCTGCTGTTTCTATACCTCACTTTCCTTTTCTGTTTGTCACTTTCCTTCTTCTGTCCATAAATGTTATCCAACCATATGGCAGTCTCGGGAATCGCTCTGAACCCATTCTGGTTCGGGGGCTGCCCAATTCTCAAACGTTTTTTCTTCAGTTAAACTCTGTTAAATTCAATTTGTCTAAAGTTTTTCTTCTCACACAGCAAACTGAACAATCACACTCCAGGTTTTCACGTCAATGGGCCCTCATTCACATGCATCCTTTAATCTGAAATGTCCTTCTCCACATTTCTGCACATCTAACTTTTACCCTACTGATCCCCATAGCCTAATTATTAGCTGTATGATCTTGAGCAAATTATTTAAACTCCATATCTGAAGAAGATCGTTTCCAAAGATTGCCACAGCAATCGTTTCCATCCTGTGTGCCCTTTGCAAGGTGAGTTTGCCACTTCTCCATGTCAGTTTCCTTTCCGTTTGAATCTTTGCTGGCTCTGTGACATTCATGAACCCATCAAATGTGGTGGACATGATGCTATGTCATTTGCAGCTTCTGTTTTTGTACTCTGGGAAGCTGGCCACCATATACAGAAGTTCTAGCTATCCTGCTAGAGAGAGAGGTCACAGAAAGGACAACTGACATGCCCCAGCTGACAGCTAGCCCCACAGCCCGAGTCAACTGAGTAAGGCCATTTTGATCCTCCAGCTCCAACCAGGGCTAACACCGCAGCGTAGAGATGAACTGTTTCCACTAAGCCCTTGCTTGAGTTTCTGAACCCCCAAATTGCGAACAAATAAAATTGCTGTTTTAAGCCACTCAGTTTTGGGGTAGATTGTTATGTAGCAATGGATAATTGAAACAGACTCCTCGCCTACAAAATGGGGATAATAATGGTCTCCAGCCTCACAGAAGGACTGCGAGGATTAAGTGAGTCAATCTATGAAAAGCTCTTAGAATAGTGTCTGCACATGGCAAGATCGCAATAAACACTAACTCCTCACGACCTCAAATTAACTTAATGTTTTCTTGTTTCTTGTTCATCCCTAAGTCCCTCTCGCAGCAGTGCCTGGCATACAATAGGTACTCGGCAAACACAATTGGATATCAAACGTCCCCTTCCTTAAGCCTTCTCTGATGACATTCCATCAGCTTGCCACCACCCCTCCCTCTCCTGATTCCCACTGCACTTTATCAACTCTTCCCACAATGTAGGCTACCTTCAGCCTGGAACCCTGGCTGGTATGTCTCCTTGGTAGATGGTGAGCTTCTTGAAGACAATGACATTATTCATAATATATAAACAATAATGAATGAATTAATTAAAAATGGGAACAAGGCCAGGCACGGTGGCTTATGCCTGTAATCCCAGCACTTTGGAAGGCCGAGCTCAGCGGATCATGAGGTCAAGAGATCGAGACCATCCTGGCCAACATGGTGAAACTCTGTCTTTACTAAAAATATAAAAATTAGCCAGGCATGGTGGCGCACACCTGTAATCCCAGCTACTCGGGAGGCTGAGGCAGGAGAATCTCTTGAACCTGGGAGGCGGAGGTTGCAGTGAGCTGAGATCGTGTCACTGCACTCTAGCCTGGAGACAGAGCCAGACTCCGTCAAAAAACAAAAAACAATGTCACCTCCCATACCAGCATAACCAGGTTGGTTGTTTGTTTTTTGAGACGGAGTCTGGCTCTGTCACCCAGGTGATCTTGGCTCACTACAACCTCTGCCTCCTGGGTTCAAGTGATTCTCCTGCCTCAGCCTCCTGAGTAGCTGGGATCACAGGTGTGCGCCACCATGCCTGGCTAATTTTTGTATTTTTAGTAGAGACGGGGTTTCACTATGTTGACCAGGCTGGTCTCGAACTCTTGACTTCAGGTGATCCGCCTGCCTTGGCCTCCCAAAGTACTGGGATTACAGGTGTGTGCCACTGTGCGCGACCGCAGGTTTGTAATTCAAAAGAGGTGATGAATGACTCAGGCGCTCCGACATGCCTTCCAGAGCATATCTAATTTTAGATGGTGGCTTCTCTGTCTTCCTGGTCCCATCTGTGTGACTTTTATACTTTAAGGCAGGAGAGAATCCAAACAGGACTCCTGCAGAAAGTCTATTTACTGTCCTAAGAGTTGGTTGACCTTGAACTCTGGAAGTACAGGGTGTCACAAACCTAGGAAGGAACTAATGACTCCCAAGTCTGTTCCTATGGCTGACAAATGTCTGAAGTTCCTCCAGTAGATGAAAAACAGCTCATTCCTAAGCCATGATTTCTTCAGAAATCATTTTATTATCTCTAAGACTTGTGAAGTCTAAAGAGAGTAGAATTTGAAAGAATGTTGAATTCCATCTGGTTCAAAGAGCTTTAGTGTTAGACATAAACAACTTTACCAGTTTGAAAAACCAAAGATGAGCAAAATCAAATCAGGTGGTAGAGCTTCCTGGGTAGGGGTGTAACATACAACTTAAATCTAGGTGTCCTGGTCTATGTGGCACTTTGTTTGAATTATGGGGTCATTGACACAGCAAGATAGATAAGGCAGAGTAGTTGTTATGTAATCTCAGGAGAGTGGAGAAGGCACTCCCAAAACTGGAAATGATGTTACATTTTCCTTGGTGAGAATCTTTTAACCCCAGGAGGGTTTAAAATTAAGTATAGAAAGTTTAAGGGAATCATGATATTAATGTTTTCATGTAAAAGAATCTAGGCATGTTTATGTATATATAATGCTTACTAGAATTTAGCCTATTTACAGAAAAAAATGTCAAAATTCCAGTTGAAAATTAGTAAGTATTTAATTGATTCAGACTTATGACTTTAAACTGAAAACTTCCTAAGCGTATATATAGTATTGGAACATTTAAGAGAACCCTAAGGTTGTCATATTTGCAAGTTTAATTTATCGCATGAATAATCTAAACTTAAACACTTGAAAAGGTTTTGTTGTTAAGTCAGGCCATTAAAGTACATAAAAGGAAACAGAACACAGTAAGTGTCTCAATGCAATTTTAAATCTTTAAAAGGAATTTAACCTTATAATTGGAACCACACATCCAAAATCCTTTTAAAAGTGATAGGTAAAATATGTTGGACATCAACGGGATAAGATTAGAAAGCTGAAGCTTAAAGAGCTATGATTTTGAATTGTAATTTCAATAAATATTAATTTTAAAAGTCAGCTAAACTTCTGTATCATCTATGAAATGAGATTTATGGTAATAATTGCCGTGTAAGATCATTAAGAAGATTAAATGAGACATTAGTTTAAAAGCGTCTGGCACTGTGCCTGTCACATGGTAAGCATGATATATGATGGCATTTATTAATATTATTAAGTCTTCCTTAAGGGAGAGCATAAAGCCAGGCATGGGGATGTACACCTGTACTCCCAGCTACTAGGAAGCCTGAGGCAGGAGGATGACTTGAGCCCAGGAGTTCGAGTCCAGGCTAGGCAACATAGTGAGACTCTGTCTCAATTGAAATCAATCAATCAATAATAATAAAAGAGTACAAAGATGTTTAGAAATGAGAGGAAATATGGGATAAGATGTGACCCATAGCACAAGTAATCCTGGTGGCAGGGGTGAGATATCCACCACACCCCTTTGCCCCTTAGCCCCTGTCTGGCTAACAAGGCTCGCCTTATCTTGTCTGGGTCTCCCCAAGAAGTGTTCAGCTTCTCCAGCAGGGGTAGTGTGCAATTCATTACCATTGCGTCACCCAGTAGCCCTTTGCTAAGATCCATAGGAGGCGTTTTTCCTAAATCCCTCATTCTCTCACTCCATCTATCCTACGAACAATTGATGTTTGTACCAAGCACCATTCTAGGCAGTGGGGATAGTGCAGCCAGCAACAGCAGCAACAACAAAAAAACCCTGCTCTCATGGAGCTTACGGTGTGTGTGTGTGTGTGTGTGTGTGTGTGTGTGTGTGTGTGTGTGGTTTTTGAGACGGAGTCTCACTCTCACCCAGGCTGGAATGCAGTGGCCTGATCTTGGCTCACTGCAAGCTCCGCCTCCCAGGTTCACGCCATTCTCCTGCCTCAGCCTCCAGAGTAGCTGGGACTACAGGCACCCGCAACCACGCCCGGCTACTTTTTTGTGTTTTTAGTAGAGACGCGGTTTCACCGTTAGCCAAGATGGTCTCCATCTCCTGACCTCGTGATCCATCTGCCTCGGCCTCCCAAAGTGCTGAGATTACAGGCATGAGCCACCGCGCCCAGCCATGGAGCTTACATTCTAACAATGGAGACAGATATTAAACAAAATCGACAAGTAAGTTATGCAGTATGTTAGAAGAGGATATGTTGATAGAGAAAATGCACAGGGCAAAAAGATGGGTGTGGTGGGGTAAGGATTGGAATTTTAGAAAGGGTAGCCACTCCACGGAGAAGCTGACATCTCAGCCATTTGAGCCAAGACTTTAAAGAGGTGAGAGAGCCTTCTGTGCACAGGGAACAGAAAGTGCAAGGACTGTGAGCTGGGAGTGTTCCTCACACATCGGAGGAATGTGGAGGACGCCCATGAGGCTGGAGAGAACAAGCGGGAGGGTAGGAGATGCGATCAGACAAGCCATCGTGGAAGGTCTTGTGGCCTTTGTTAGGACTTTGGCTCTTACTCTGAATGAAGTGGGGAGCCATTAGGGCACTTTTGGGACAATTGGGGAAATTCCAACAGGAACCGTATATTAAATATTATTTAATCAGTATCGAAGTTTGTGGATGTTGTAATTCTCAATAAGTTGAAATAATTTTCCTGGGTGTTGGTGTGAACTGAAAGTTTGTGTCTTCCCACCTCCCAAATTTATGTGTTGAAGGCCTAACCCTCCAATATGATGGTATTTGGAGGTGGGCCCCTTGGGAAGTAATTTGGGTTAGATTAGGTCATGACAGTGGGGCCCTCAGGACAGGATTAGTGCCCTTAGGAAAAAGTGAAGAGACATTAAATCTTCCTCTCCCCAAGCATACTACAAGATGACAGCCACCTACAAGCCAGGAAGAGGCCTCAGAATTAAACCCACTTTACCAGCACCTTAATCTTGGACATCCCAACCTCCCAGCTGACTATGACAGGTGTCACTGTTAAAAGAAACATGCTGACGTACTTAGAGGTGAAGGATCATGATATCTAGAACTTATTTTCAAGTGACTGGGAAAAAAATAAAGGAAAAAAATTTAACCATTTGTCATTGTTACAGGTAAGACTGTGTGCTCCCCAAAACTTGTATGTTGAAGCCCTAACTTCATGTGACTGTATTTGGAGACAGAACCTTTAAGGAGGTTGGGGTTAACTGAGGTCATAAAGATGGGGCCCTAATCCAGTGACTGGTGCCCTTATAAGAAGAGGGAGAGACACCAGGTGTGTGTGCAGAGAAAGGGCCATGTGAGGATACAGTGAGAAGGCAGCCATCTGCAAAGCCAAGGAGACAGGCTTCAGGAGAAACCAAACCTGCCCACACCTTGACTCTGGATTTCCAGCCTCCAGAACTGTCAGAAAATAAGCTTCTGGTTTTAAAGCCACCCAGTCTGTGTGCTATTTTGTAATGGCAGCCCTAGAAGACTAATCTACTGCATAACAAGTTACCTCAAATGTAGGAGCTTAAAATAAGATTATCTCACATGATTTCTTTTTCTTTTTTGAGATGCAGTCTCCCTCTGTTGCCTAGGCTGGAGTGCAGCGGCATGGTCTTAGTTCACTGCAACCTCCGCCTCCCAGGTTCAAGCGATTCTCCTGCCTCAGCCTCCTGGGTAGCTGGGATTACAGGCGTGTGCCACCACACCTGGCTAATTTTTGTATTTTTAGTAGAGATGGGGTTTCACCACGTTGGCCAGGCTGGTCTTTAACTCCTGACCTCAGGTGATCCGCCCACCTCGGCTCCCAGAGTGGTGGGATTATAGGTGTGAGCCACCACCTCCAGCCAATCTTACATGGTTTCTGAGGGTCAGAAATCTGGAAGACGCTCAGCTGCGTGGTTCTGGCTCCAGGTCCATCATAAAGTACAGTCAGTATGTTTTCCCCAGGGCTTCCATCATCTGATGGCTTATCTGAGGTAGAAGGCTGCATTTCCAACATCCACTCACGGCCGGGCACGGTGGCTCACGCCTGTAATCCCAGCACTTTGGGAAGCCGAAGCCAGCGGATCACCTGAGGTCAAGAGTTCAAGACCAGCCCGGCCCACATGGTTAAAACCCCATCTATACTAAACATACAAAATATTAGCCCGGCATGGTAGTGGGCACCTGTAGCCCCAACTAATCAGGAGGCTGAGGCAGGAGAATGGCATGAACCCAGGAAGTGGAGCTTGCAGTGAGCCAAGATTGCGCCACTGCACTCCAGCCTGGGCAACAGGGCCAAGACTCCGTCTCGTTAAAACAAAACAAAACAAAACAAAACAAAACAAAACAAAACAAAACAAAACAAAACAAAAAAAACCCACTCACCTGGCTGTTGACAAGACGTCTCAGTTCTTCACCATGTGGTCTTCTCCCCAAGGCCGCTTAAGTGCCCTTATATGAGGGCATGGCAGTTGGCTTTCCAGATTAAAAGAACCCAGGAACAGAGCAAGGAGGAAGACACAAGGCCTTTTACGACCTAGTCTTGGAAGTTGCACACCTTCGCTTCTGACACGTTCTAGTATCAGTGAATCACTAAGGCCACCCCACACTCAGGAGGAAGGGAGGTAAGCTGTGTCCCAAATTGGTGAGTTCTTGGTCTGACTTCAAGAATGAAGCCACAGACCCTCGGGGTGAGTGTTACACTTCTTAAAGGCAACGTATCCGGAGTTTGTTCCTTCTCATGTTCAGATGTGTTCAGAGTTTTTCCCTTCTGGTGGGTTCGTGGTCTCACTGGTTCAGGAGTGAGGCTGCACACCCTCGCGGTGTATTGCAGCTCTTAAGGAGGCGCGTCTGGAGTTGTTCATTGCTCCTGGTGAGTGAAGCTGCAGACCTTCACGTATTACAGCTCATTAAGACTGTGTAGACCCAAACAGCGAGCAGCTGCAAGACTTACCTGCAAACAGCAAAAAAAAAAAAAACAAAAAAACAAAAAAACAAAAAACGAGGCTACCACCACAGGCAAAAGGACCTCAGCGGTACTGCTGCAGCAAGTTCTGGCAGCCTGCTTTTATTCTCTTATCTGGCCCCACCCACATCCTGCTGATTGGTCCGTTTTACAGAGAGTTGATTGGTCTGTCTTACAGAGAGCTGATTGGTCCGTTTTGACAGGGTGCTGATTGGTCCGTTTCGACAGGGTGCTAATTGGTGTATTTACAATCCCTGAGCTAGACACAAAAGTTCTCCACGGCCCCACTAGATTAGCTAGATACAGACTGCTGATTGGTGTATTTACAAATCCTGAGCTAGACACAGAGTGCTGATCGGTGCATTTACAAACCTTGAGCTAGATACAGAGTGCCGATTGGTGTATTCACAATCCCTTAACTAGACATAAAGATTCTCCAAGTCCTCACCAGATGAGCTAGATACAGAGTGCCGATTGGTGCATCCACAAACCCTGAGCTAGACACAGGGTGCTGATTGGTGTGTTTACAAACCTTGAGCTAGATACGGAGTGCTGATTGGTGTATTTACAATCCCTTAGCTAGACATAAAGGTTCTCCAAGTCCCCCCTAGACTCAGGAGCCCAGCTGGCTTCACCCAGTGGATCCCGCACTGGGGCCACAGGTGGAGCTGCCTGCCAGTCTGGCGCTGTGTGCCCACACTCCTCAGTCCTTGGGCAGTGGATGGGACCGGGTGCCATGGAGCAGGGGGCGGCTCTTGTCGGGGAGGTTCAGGCCGCACAGGCGCCCACGGTGGCGGCGGGGAGGCTCAGGCATGGTGGGCTGCAGGTGCCGAGCCCTGCCCCGCTGGGAGGCAGCTAAGGCCCGTGAGAAATCGAGCACAGCGCGGTGGGCCGGCACTGCTGGGGGACCCGGCGCACCCTCCGCAGCTGCTTGCCCGGGTGCTAAGCTCCTCACTGCCCGGGCCCGGTGGGGCCGGCCGGCCCCTCGGGGTGCGGGGCCCGCCAAGCCCACGCCCACCCAGAACTCTAGTTGGCAGGTGCGCAGCCCCAGTTCCCGCCCACGCCTCTCCCTCCACACCTCCCCGCAAGCTGAGGGAGCCGTCTCCGGCCTTGGCCAGCCCAGAAAGGGGCTCCCACAGTGCAGCGGTGGGCTGAAGGGCTCCTCAAGCACGGCCACAGTGGGCTCCAAGGCCGAGGAGGCGCCCAGAGTGAGCCAGGGCTGCGAGGGCTGCCAGCATGCTGTCACCTCTCAGCTGCATCTCTTGAAGAGCAAAAAAACTCTTGGTACGTGCTATACAGGATTTGTTATTGTAATTATTATTATTATCAATGTATTTAAATCCACAGATACCTCCCCTGGAGGATCTTCTTCTAACCCGCCTACAACCCTCTCTCTGATTAGGGGCCTGAGCAAAGCCTGAGAAGGGACGCGCAGGACAAATTTGCGGGGAAAGAGAGAAGATTGGGCAAAAATTTGGCATGAGAACAGCCTTTAACCTGTCCCTTCAATACATTTGCTGCCTCAGAAAGGAAGAGGCCACAAGGAGCTCCTGGTTTCTACTACAGCCTCCAGAGTCTCTAATTCCGTCCCCAAGGATGGTGTGGGCAGCATGGTTGGGGGGCATCCACGGTCTTCAGCGGTCCCACTCTGGAGCCTCCCACACCACACTGTGGGCACTGTGGACATTCAGTAAGTATGTGATGCTGATGATCTTGAAGGTTCTCAGAGGCTGGCTGATTCTTCCTGTCTGTGTATTCACACTTGGTACTTGTTGATTAGTTAAGGATCAAGGATCCCAATTTTTTTTTTTTTTTTTTGGAGATAGGGTCTCACTCTGTTGCCCAGGCTGGAGTGCAGTGACGTGATCTTGGCTCACTGTAACCTCCGCTTCCTGGGTTCCAGTGATTCTCCTGCCTCAGCCTCCCTAATAGCTGAGATTACAGGCGTGAGGCACCACATCTGGCTAATTTTTGTGTTTTTAGTAGAGATGGGGTTTCACCATTTTGGCCAGGCTGGTCTTGAACTCCTGACCTCAGGTGATCCACCTACCTCGGCCTCCCAAAATGCTGGGATTACAGCTGTGAGCCACTGTGTCCGGCCAAGGATCCCAATTTTGAGGAGAGACTGGTATCATGAGTTCAACCAACCAGCAGGCTTCCGGTGAGCACAGTGAGCCAGAATGATGGCTTGTGGCTTCATTCAACCAGTAGAATCACAGCAATAAAAATACCTAATACATCTCCTATTCCAGGTTCTGTTCTAAATGATATACACACATATTAATTGAGTTAGTTCTCAAAGCAACCCTATGAACTATGAATCTGTCCATTTTACAGATGAGGAAATAGAGGCACAGAGAGATTAAGAGACTCGCCCAAGGTCAGAGTTCAGAGTTTGATTCCAAGAGTATGTGTTTAAAACTGCTATGCTAGATTGCCTCTTAAAAATTGTGCAATTCATCCTTAACATTTAAAGGTATCTAAATATGAGCAGGAGGTGGTACTTAAACAATAGAAATAATTGAGAGTAAGATTTAGGGACTAGAAAGTTCAGGTAACATAGAATGCTAAGCAGGAAGGAACCTGAGACATACCAGGGCCATAAATTTTCAAACTGGATTCTGAAGAGTCCTAGGATTCTTGTGGTATCTCTGGATCTGCTTGTCCAGGAGTGAGGGAAATCTTTGGACTCCACCACCCCAATTCAACCACAGCACCCACCAGGATCTGTTTCACAGGGTGTTCCTGTGCAGAAGTCACAAGCCCAAGTTTGGCTGGACCACAGCCTCAGATTGTCAGGGAAGTTTGCAAATGGCTTTGAAGTGGCTGAAAATATTACTGGGTTTCCTTTCCATGATATTGTCTCTAGAAAACCTTTCCGGGGTTGATTCTATAGGGATTTGTGTCTTTCTTTTTGTTTTTCTTTTTACCATTTTGCAACTCTGAACTCTGTTGACACAAGAGTTAACTTACGTAGCAAGTGATTTCTGCCCTGTAGAAGACAACATTTTTGTATCTATTAGCAAATTAGTTTCTACATTCCTGATTGTGCATATGTGTGTCTGTTCTGTGGATTCTTCTTTGAATGCAGTTTTATGTCATACTGGTTATCTCAACTGATGAGTTAGATAAAATCTTTTTTTTCCTTTTTTTTTTTCTTTTGAGACAGAGTCTTTCTTTGTCATCTAGGCTAGAGTGCAGTGGCGTGATCTCGGCTCACTGCAACCTCTGCCTCCTAGGTTCAAGCGATTCTCCTGCCTCAGCCTCCGCAGTAGCCGGGAATTACAGGCGTGTGTCCCCACGCCCAGCTAATTTTTTTATATTTTTAGTAGAGATGGGATTTCACCACATTGACCAGCCTGGTCTTGAACTCCTGACTTCAGGTGATTGGCCTGCCTTGGCCTCCCAAAATGTTGGGATTACAGGCATGAGCCACCACGCCCGGCGAGTTAGATAAAATCTTTGTGACATCTCCATTTATGTTTATATGTATATGGCAGTCATAACTTTAAGAAAATTATCCTTTAACAAGATGGTCTTCCTGCATTGATTCTGGCCTCCTCCTATTCTTGCCCCCTATCCAGTCCATTCTCCGTGAAGGAGCTAGAGCCATCTTTGCCAAGAGCAAACCTGATCATAATCCTCCCCGGCTTAAAACCGATATGCAGTATAGCCTGCTGATAGCAGTGCAGACCTCGCTTCTGCTAGGACAACTGGATGCCATCATCCTGAATCGGACACCTCACCTGACATCAAACAGCGGGACAGGGCCCAAGGCCCTTGGGTGCCCACAACACACTGATTGATCAGCCCAGATCTCACCACCATCGCTCACTTGCCTTTCTAATTTGGGACAGAGAAAGTTTGTGAGTTTTATTTTGTCTTTTTTTTTTCTCCAGATTTAAAGATCTATTCCCTTTCCTCTCCCCCAAACCTCATTCCCCAGAACCTAGATTCTGTGCCAAATTGGGTTTCCAAGCCTAGCAGTATAAAACAAAAAAACAAACAAACTCCTACCCAGAGCTCAATCTTTGGTCTCTTATTCTTTCTTTTTTTTTTTTCCTTTAGTAAAATCTCAGTGCTGCCAGGAGCAGTGGCTTCTGCCTATAATCCTAGCATTTTGGGAGGCTGAGGTGGGTCTTGGTGCAAGGTGAAATCACTTGAGGCCAGGAGTTCGAGATCACCCTGGCCAACGTGGTGAAACTGTCTGTACTTTAAAAATACAGAAAATTAGCTGGGTGTGGTGCATGTGCCTGTAATCTCAGCTAGTAAGGAGGCTGAGGTGGGAGGATCACCTGAGCTTGGGAAGTTGAGGCTGCACTGAGCTGTGATCCCGCCACTGCACTCCAGCCTGGGTGACAAGAGTGAGTGAGACTCTGTCAAAAAAAAAAAAAAAAAGAAAAGAAAAAAACCCTCAGTGCTCTCCAGTCCCCTTAGAATAAAAGCCAAAATCCTGGAAAAGGCCTCCCTGAAAGGTCTCACATGATCTAGCCCCTGCTTGCCTCTGTTCTCACCCTCGCCCTCTTCATTCCAGCTACCCTGACCTTTGGCCCACCCTTTCCAGACCCAGCCTCTTCCCATTTTGTGTTAGGACACTGTGACACCCTCTCTTTCTCCTCCTCCTTGCCATTGTCTGGCGGAAACAAAACAAAACAAAAATAACATGTATTCATTTTCAAGTCTCTTGCTAAACCTTACCTTGCTGCCTCAAAAAGACCTGGTTGGTTCCCCACCTCCTTCCCTCATAGGATCCCCTAGCACCAGAACTTCCTAACAGCCAGTGCAGTGATGATTATTTAATGATTTAGCTATTTATATATAGGGGTGGAATGTCTCTCTTTCCCAAGAGGCCAAAAGCTCCAAGAGGCAGGACTCAGATCAGTTGTTTACTACTTTGTCCCTTCTGCTTTGCTTGGTGCTTGCATATAGGAGGCACTCGATACAACCATTTTTTTTTTTTTTTTTTTGAGACAGAGTCTTGCTCTGTCACCCAGGCTGGAGTGCAATGGCAAAATTTCGGCTCACTGCAAGCTCCGCCTACCAGGTTCACGCCATTCTCCTGCCTCACCCTCCGGAGAAGCTGGGACTACAGGCGCCCGCCACCACGCCCGGCTAATTTTTTTTTTTTTTTGTATTTTTAGTAGAGACAGGGTTTCACCGTGTTAGCCAGGATGGTCTCGATCTCCTGACCTCGTGATCCACCCGCCTCGGCCTCCCAAAGTGCTGGGATTACAGGCGTGAAGCACCGTGCCCGGCTGCCAGGCTGATCTTCCTTTGTACTACTTTGCCATTAATCCCTGAAATAGAAATGATCCTGATGTATCTCAAAATCCAAACAGTCTGGCAGTTCCTCAAAAGGTTAAACATAGAATAACCATAGGACCAATCGATTCCACTCCTAGGTGTTTACACAAGAGAAATGAAAACCTATGTTCACACAAAAACTTGTATAAGAATGTTCGTAGCAGCTTTATTCACCAAAAGCAGAAAGCAGAAACTACACAAATGTCCATCCACTGATTATTGGATCAACAAAATATGCTACCATATATCCATACAATGGAATAGTATTCAGCCCTAAAAAGAAGTGATATACTGATACATGTTGTATCACGCATGAACCTCGAAAACATTATGCTAAGTGAAAACATGCTAAGCTAAACATAAAAGATCATAGATTGTATGACCCCGTTCATGTGAAATATCTAGAACAGGCAAAGGCATAGAAATAGAAGGTAGATGAATGGGGCTGGGGGGTTGGGAGGAAATGAGATTAACTATTGGGTCTACTAACGGAGCTTTTTAGGGGGTGAAGAAAATGTTCTAAAAATGTGTTGAGAGTTGAACAATTCTGTAAATATGCTAAAAACCGTGGACTGTACACTTTGAATGAATTATACAATATGCAAATTATATATCAATAAAGCTGTTAATTATTATTGTTATTGTTTTTTTGAGACAGAGTTTCGCACTGTTGCCCAGGCTGGAGTGCAGTGACATGATCTCGGCTCACTGCAACCTCCACCTCCCAGGTTCAAGCGATTCTCCTGCCTCAGCCTCCCGAGTAGCTGGGGCTACAGGCACCCGCCACCACACCCGGCTAATTTTTTGTATTTTTAGTAGAGACAGGGTTTCACCGTGTTAGCCAGGATGGTCTCTATCTCCTGACCTCGTGATCCGCCCGCCTCGGCCTCCCAAAGTGCTGGGATTACAGGCATGAGCCACCGCGCCCGGCCTGTTAATTATTTTAAAAAGCAGTAATTTCTAACCTTATTGGGTTAAGATTTCTGGGAGAATTGGAAAGCTGTAGAGTTTCTCTTGATCCACCTCCATCCTCACCCGCCTCAGCCATGAAAAATCACATATGCTTATATATAAAAGTTTCATAAAAAATTAGGTGATTCCCAGTCTGAAGCCCATTTATTGACTCCCTAGACATCTATAATCCCCATAGAAACCTGTGTTGATAAAAACTATCACTAGTAACTGTTAGCTCAGGTGCACATCTGAAAGAATTTTTTTTTTTTTTTTGAGACAGGGTCTTGCCCTGTTACCCAGGTTGGAGTGCAGTGGCGTGATCACAGCTCACTACAGCCTCAACCTCCCAGGATCAAGCGATCCTTTTGAGTGGGTGGGACTACAGGCAAGAGCCACAGTGCCCTGCTAATTTTTAAATAGTTTTTGTAAAGACAGGGTCTTGCTATGTTGCCCAGGCTAGTCTTGAACTCCTGGGTTCAAGCCATCCACCCACCTTGGCCTCTAGAACTGCTGGGATTACCGGCAGGAGCCACCATGCCCAGCCTAAAATATTTTTTTTTCCCATCCTTGTCATAGTCACTCTTCGCCCCCTCCTCTTCTTTCTTCAGAAGCTGTTTTGACATCCTTTCTCCATCAGTGTGGTAGGAAGAGTTTTAAGACAGTTCCCATGACCTTCGCCTTCCGGTATTGGGGCAAAAGGAGGAGATTATCTGGGTGAGTCTAATTTAATTGCAGGAGCCCTCTGAAAGCAGATAATTTCTCTAGCTGGTATTGGAAGAGAGTCAGATTCAAAGCCTGACAGGGACTCCACATGCTGTTGCTGGCTTTGAAGATGGAAGAGGCTGTGCAATGAGGAATGCAGTTGGCCTCTAAGAGCAGAGGGGCCCCTAGCTGACAGCCAACAAGGAAATGAGGACCTTAGCCCTAGAGCTTCAGGAATTGGATTATGTCAGCAACCTGAAGGAGCTTGGAAGTGGATTCCTCCCCTGAGCCTCCAGGTGACGGCCCAGCCATTGCACAACATGGTTGCAGCCTCATGACACGCTGAGCAGAGCCAAGCCAGCCCATGCGGACTCTGAGCTGCTACCGTGAGGTAACATGTGAGTGTTGGTTCAGGACCCCCAGTTTGCAGTAATTTGTTATGCAGACTAGAAAACTAACACAATCAGCCTCGCGTCGCTGTGCAGCTGGCTGTCTTTCTGTTGGATGTTTCTAGAGCCACCTCTTTTCCTCATAAGATTCCTAAAATGGTTATTTGTCCCCCCCTCTACCCCGAGGGTGACATCATACTCCGGTTGCCTCCGAGCCTGGCTCATCATTCCGCACTCCATGGCCTACACTGGGAGCCTCTTCCTGGTGTTTCAAAGGTGAAAGCTAAGGGGAACCTCAGGCCATTGCAGGTGAGGAAGCTGCACTGGGCTGGTGTCACAGCTCTCAGCAGCTCTGATCTCCCAAGAGAAGAAGTTTGGCCTGAGACAGGGGTCTCGTGGGACTCCGCTTGGCCTCAGCACCCTGCTATGCACATGGAAGGCTTCCAGTAAACATTGCTGGGACCGAAAGTCCAGGAGCATAGGAGCTCACTCAGATGCCCAAGTGATCAACCCTAAGATGGCTTGAAAGGAGAAGCACAAGGTTCTAGAGCCCTTCCAGCTGACCGAAAGCCTTGTCCGTAATATGTGGGACCCTGGTCTGGAAGCTAGGGAAAGGGCTTTGAGGGTAAAACCTTGCGAGGAGGGGGGCTGATCCCAAGGGCTAGTAGCTGATCTCACAGAAGCAGAGGCTCTTCAGCTACTCCAGGGAGACCGAGATCACCTGGAAGGGTGCTCAAAGCTTGGTTTTAATCCCATCTTTAGCAGCAGTTTGGAGGTTGTGTATATGGCAAGGCGTTGTGACAGACATGCAGCTGTCTGCCCACCTGCCTGCTTGCAGGCTCAGCTCTTAGTCCCCCAAACCCCTCCAACCCCCTCTTCTGTCCTTCCCCTACTCATCATTCCGCACTCCATGGCCTACACTGGGAGCCTCTTCCTGGTGTTTCAAAGGTGAAAGCTAAGGGGAACCTCAGGCCATTGCTCACGGGTTTGGAGGGGAACCGAGTGCTCTACACTGAGAGTGAGCTCCTGAAGGGCTTCCTTCCTCTTCCCTCCCTTTATCCATAAAACACCCAGAGCCCTACTTCCTGCCTTTGCTGATGAGAACCATTCATTTCTGGAACAAATCAGTTATTTCTGCTCTCGTGAGTTAGTGTCTTTTCTTGCTGGGAAAAACTCCAGTTAGGCCCTTACCTTCATCTTCTTGTTCTTGGAGCGTGATCTCATGCATCTGAGAGTTGGAATCCCTCTTGACCGGGTTGTCTTGGCTTCTTTATGTGGCTATAGGGCCCCGGGTAGCCATGCAGAAGGCCTGAGATGGGGCTGGGGTGGGGTAGGGAAGGAGCGAGGGCCTGTCTGTGACTGCCATTACCCTCCCGATGGGGAGACCCCGTCACTCCGGCGCCTGGGAATCCCTGCACCATTTGGATTTGTTCTCCCTGTGTCTGTGGGCTTGAGTAGGTTTGCGGATTTGTGGCTTCTCTTGTACTCAAGAAATCTGCCTAGACCCACAGAATTTCTTCTGCCCCAGGGCTGGACCACCCTTTTTAAGCATGAAATATGCAACAATATCAGAGTGAGTTATACACATACATAATATGCACATACTAGTTATACATCTGCAGTATCGGGGTGAGTGTATGCACACTTAACAGCATGCACATGCAGAGTTACACACAGGCAATATCAGCGTAAGTTATACACACGTGTAAACACGTGTGTCTCAGGATAAGCTTATGTGTGATCACAGGAGTTCTGAGTGTGACCCTGAGGAGTCCCTGTTTCAGTCAAGCCCTGGAAACTTGGTGGCGCAGGGTGGTGAAGCCGAGGAGGGAGTGCAGAGGAAGGAGGCAGAGGGAGTGCCTTCAGCTTCTCGCACAGGGCCTTGGGTGGTGCTGTAGGGGTGGTGCTGAGGGGGCCTTGCACACTCCAAGAGGAAGTGTGTTCAGGCCGAACAGCCTGGGCTTCTCAAACACCACCTTACAGCGACAGCAGAAGACGGGGCTGTGGGGGGAAGTGTGTATATTGGGGAGTTGGGGGAACTGCCTGTTCTGCGCCTTCTCCCACCTCCCAGGACCCAGACCAGGAGGCTGAACGTGGAGAAGTTATTTCAGCAGCATATCCTTCACCCACGGCCGTTTCTGGAGATCCCCAACCCCTCCATGCCCCTCTGAGCACCCCCTTAGCACTCGCTGTCCTGGGTGTGTGAGGTGACCTCTGCCCTCCATCCACTAGAGACGCCTGTTTGGCCAGGGCCAGCCGGCAGGACTGCAGCCTCCAGCATCCGTTCCTCGCTTCTGAAGGCAGATTTGCCTTGGTTTCGTCACCTGTGAAATGGAGATGATGATAGCGTGGAGGCTTCGGGATAAGTCAGCATGCCTAGGCAGAATTGTATTCTCAGAATTCCTTTTCTTGGGTGTGTCCTGTTAGTGTGGGTCACAGAAAGCTTCCCGTAGGGGATTTGGGGGCGGACTCACTCTGATATTGTTGCATTTTTCAGGCTTAAAGAGGGGCCCAGCCCTGGGGCAGAAGAAATTCTGTGGGTCTAGGCAGATTTCTTGAGTACAAGAGAAGCCACAAATCCACAAACTTACTCAATGCCTGCTGACTGGCGGCATTGGTGTGAGGCGGTGGCCAGGCCTGCATCTGCCCGCCCTCCCCTGGAACCTCCTTCAGTCTCCTGCCCCTGGGCCAGGCGTATGTGTTCATTTCCAGGACGAAGGATCCTGGCTTTGGCAGGACGCCCACACCACCAATTTCAGAAGCAACAAGAACTGACGTGGGTTTCTGTCTGCCTGTCTGTCCTCGGGTCTCCAGCCTGTGCTATGGATTCTGACTTGTCCTTGATCTGCCCCACTTTACCTCCATGCTTCCTTCCCAACCATCTCCCCTGCGAACTTCAAGCCTCAGCATCAGATGGGAAGACAGCTGCTTTATAGACACTGCTTACCCAGTGCCCACAACTGCCTACAGTCAAATCCCTGAAACAAAGCCCTTCACATATACCAGAAGAATCTCTCTCTACCATCTATCTATCTATCTATGTATTTATCTACCTGTGTATCTATCTATGTATCTATGTATCTATTATCTATCTATCTATCTCTACTATCTATTGTCTATCTCCTATCTATCTACCATGTATCTTCTATTTACTATTTATCATCTATCTGTTGATCTATTGATCTGTATCTATCATCTATCTACTATGTATTGTCTATCTCCGATCTATCTACATATTATCTATCTTCTATTTGCTATTTATCTATCATCTAATTTATCATCTATCTTCTATATCTATGTATCTATCATCTATCTGCTATTATCTCCTATCTTATCTACCTACCATCTATCTTCTATTTACTATTTATCTATCCCATCCATCCATCTATCCACCCATCCACCCATCCACCCATCCACCCACCCACCCATCCATCCATCCATCTCTATCTATCTATCTATCTATCTATCAATCTACTTACTTCTCTTGCTAAACGCTGACCCAGGTAGACACGTATTGCTTCTTGAGGTAGGAAATGAGTGGAGCCCAGGTGCTTGAAAGTGTTTGGTCACTGCAGGGCAGTGGTTCTTCAACTTGAGCACGCATCAGAATCATGTGGAGGGCTTCTTAAAACCCAGAGTGCTGGGTCCCACCCCTGGAGTTTCTGATTCTCAGGTCTGGAGTGGGGCCTGAGAATTTAACTGGTAAAGTTGCCAGGTGATGCTGACGCTGCTGGTCCGGGGACCACGCCTGAGAATGACTGCTGTAAGGTGTTGTATGTGAAGGTGAGGGGTTACTGCGGCCACGCAGCGATCCTGGCAGGGCAGCTGCAGCAGTGCCTTCCCTGAGACAACAGGAATCCGGGCAGTCTGAGGGCCCTCTAGGATCACAGGGCCAGGGAGGAGACACGGAGCCTTGTTAAGTCTGCTCCTCAGCCTGCTTTGGGGACAAAAGCACAGGGCCTCTGCTTTCTGGGAGGCAGACTGACGAGGGGGAGAGACCAGGCTCAGGAAGAGCAGACCCAGGGGTGAATCCTGACCCTGTCGTCCTGTAGCCAGGGTTCCCAGGCAAGCATCCTGCTCTGTGAGTCAGGATAATGATGCCTCACTGGGTTTTCAAAAGGCGGATACAAATGAAGTCCCTGTTGAATACATGTTACTTCCCCACGGCTCTCTGACTTGGCTTTTGCTATTGATTTAAAAATGTGCAATTGAGTTTTTGAACCTAAGTTTGAGATTTTACATTGACCTCAATTGAGTTGAGTTTGGCTGGTTTTAATCCATCATCCCAGCCTGCTGAGGTGCTCCTGAGCCTTGAGCTTGTCATTTGGCACATTAGTGATCCCTCCCTAGTTACTGGTGGCCTGCCCAGTAACTAGGGCAGTAACTAGGGCTGTTCCTTCCTTAGCGTTGCTGACACTGGCTTGCATGTTTTAGCGCACACAGTGGGGCAGGGGAGCAGAGCTTGCTCCTGAAGTCAGGGAAGAGTGCTCGACTCAGCACTTTTGCAGCTCTGACCTGGGAAGCTGCCTTCGTAGTTTTAAGTGGGTCTTTGCACCCAAATTAGAAACACCTCATGCTTCTAATCCAAGCACTTTGGGAGGCCAAGGTGGGTGGATCACCTGAGGTTAGGAGTTCGAGACCAGGCTGACCAACATGGTGAAACCTTGTCTCTACTAAAAATACAAAATTAGCCCGGCATGGTGGCGGGCGCCTGTAATCCCAGTTACTCGGGAGGCTGAGGCAGGAGAATCGCTTAAACCCAGGAGGCAGGGGTTGCAGTGAGTCGAGATCGCGCCTTGCACTTCAGCCTGGGCAACTCCATCTCAAAAATAAAATAAAATAAAATAAATAAAAATAAAATAAAATAAAATATAAAATATAAAATTATAAAATATAAAATAAAATATAAAATATAAAATATAAAAAAATAAAATAAAATAAAATAATATAATATAAAATATAAAATAAAATATAAAAGTTTGAAGTGGTGGATGAGAGAAGAGTCCTCTGTACTGACCCTACTGGTTTGTTGCCCACCTGAACACTGACTGTGTGTGAGCCCAAAGGTGAGGGGACACCAGACCTAAGATGTGGTTTCTAGTTCCCAGGCAGCCTAGGTGACCAGCTTTGAGAGTGAGTGCTTGTTGGGGGGGTCCCCCGTCACTGCACTCTTCCCCATGAATAAACTACCAAAGGGCTAGAGAGAACTTGAGAACAAACTTCATATAACATTCACTGTTTTCAGGGATAGAGTGAGGCCCACGGGGGAAAATAAGCAGGTGTCCCTCAGCAGGAAGGCACAGCAGGCATCGGTCCCGAGCTGGACTGACTGGACCGCAGGCTCACGACTTCTTCTTTCACGATCTCTGTCTCAGGACATTCTGGAACAAGGCTGCCTCCTTAAATCCGGACTCGCTGTTGTTCCTTCTTTTTCACCTCTGCCCAGATGTCCGACCGGTCTTGGATAAATTGCTGGATCTAGAAAGGCAAGGAGCCCAGCGTTAACTCCGCCCCCCAGAGGCCTCCCCTGTCCCAAGATGGAGCATCCCAGACATTCACTTGTAAAGAATTCATCATTGCTTTCCTGTGACTGACTTCTTTTTAAATTTTTATTTATTTATTTTTTTGATACAAGAGTCTTGCTCTGTCACCCAGGGTGGAGTGCAGTGGCACGATCTAGGCTCACTGCAACCTCCGCTTCCTGGGTTTAAGCAATTCTCGTGTCTCAGCCTCCTGAGTGGCTGGGATTACAGGTACTTGTGACCATGCCCAGCTAATTTTTGTGTTTTTAGTAGAGATGGGGTTTCACCATGTTGGCCAGGCTGGTCTTGAACTACTGACCTCAAGTGATCCACCCGCCTCAGCCTCCCAAAAGGCTGGGATTACAGGCATGAGACACTGCACCCAACCATGACTGACTTCTTGAGGAGGCCACTTTCTCTCATTTGACAATGTTTTGAGGTGAAATTGAGTGTTGGGTGTAGCCGATGAGAAGCAACAAAACAGGGATGGAGTTGGGAACTCCTGAAGGCAGACCCTGGTGATGTATGAAGTCCAGGCTGAGAGTCAAGCAGGAGGGATAAGAAAGAAAGGGTCACAAGCAGGCTGGTGGATGAAAAGGATTTAGCAGGCAGGGTTCCGTCAGCATGGGCAGACCGCCTTCCACAACTTCACCGCCCTCAAGGTGGTCGTGCATTCGAAACCCAGAGCTGATGCTCATCATGATAACCTTGAGTCATGAAAAGGAATGTAAATTCTGTTCACCGCCTTCTGTTTTGTAAAGAGCACGCAGTCAGCATGACACGGAAGTCATGCTCCAGAAGTCAGATGACCTAGCTGGGCCCCCGTCGCAGGTCTGGGGCAATCACTCCATCTTTCTGGAACTCAGTTCTTCATCTTTAATAAGGAGAGAGGGAGAAAAGATTGGCCCAGACAGCCTCTAAGATATCAGTTCTAATGCAAACCAAAACCACAGTGAGATACCATCTCACACCAGAATGGCTACTATTAAAAAGTCAAAAAGTTACAGATGCTGCTGAGGTTGTGGAGAAAAGGGAACGTTCATACACCGTTGGTGGAAGTGCAAATTAGTTCAACCATTGTGGAAGGCAGTATGGTGATTCCTCAAAGAATTAAAATAGAACTACCATTCAACCCAGCAGTCCTATTACTTGTTATATACCCAAAGGAATATAAATCGTTCTATCATAAACACACATGCATGGGGATGTTTACTGAAGCACTATCCACAATAGCAAAGAGAATCAACCTAAATGCCCATCAATGGTAGACTGGATAAAGAAAATGTGGTACTTATACACCACGGAATACTATGTAGCCATAAAAAAGAATGAGATCACGTCCTTTGCAGGCACATGGATGGAGGTGGAGGTCACTATCCTTAGCAAACTAACGCAGGAACAGAAAACCAAATACTGAGTGTTCTCACTTATTAGTGGGAGCTAAATGATGAGAACACGTGGACACAAAGAGGGGAACAACACATACTGGGATCTGCTTGAGGGTGGAGAGTGGGAGGAGGGAGAGGATCAGAAAAAATGACTATTGGATACTCGGCTTAATACCTGAGTGATGAAATAACCTGTACAACGAACCCTTGTGACATGAGTTTACCTATATAACAAACCTGCTTGGCTGGACGCGGTAGCTCACGCCTGTAATCCCAGCACTTTGGGAGGCCAAGGCGGGTGGATCACGAGGTCAGGAGATCGAGACCATCCTGACTAACACAGTGAAACCCCATCTCTACTAAAAATACAAAAAATTAAGGCCGGGCGCGGTGGCTCAAGCCTGTAATCCCAGCACTTTGGGAGGCCGAGGCGGGCGGATCACGAGGTCAGGAGATCGAGACCACCCTGGCTAACACGGTGAAACCCCGTCTCTACTAAAAATACAAAAATTAGCCAGGCGTAGTGGCGGGCGCCTGTAGTCCCAGCTACTCGGGAGGCTGAGGCAGGAGAATGGCGTGAACCTGGGAGGCGGAGCTTGCAGTGAGCCGAGATCACACCACTGCACTCCAGCCTGGGCGACAGAGTGAGACTCCGTCTCAAAAAAAAAAAAAAAAAAAAAAAAACCTGCTCGTGTACTCCTGAACCTAAAATTAAAAAAATAAAAAAAGGATTTCAGTTCTAAAACTTCTCCTTTTCAAGGCTGTCTCTGGAGATGGAACTACACAGACTTTGTCCAAAGCTCTCAACAACTGTCAGCTGCTGATACTGTTACCATTACCAATATCATTCCCATTTTGCAAATGAGAAAACAGAGAGTCAATGAATTAAAGCAGCTTTCCCAAGATGACAGAGAAGACAGGTCAGCGTTTCCTGAGCTATGTTCTCATAATAAGTGGTCACATGCCCCAAAGGAGTCCTGTGGTCAAGTCAGTTTTAGAAACGCTGTCTGCTGGGAGCATCTCAGGGCATAGAACTATAGCAAAGACTCCAAGTCCTGTTTGTTTTTTTAATCTCATCTTCGTTTAATTTAGAGTTTCTAAATGTATTAGTCTATGGAGTCCTTTTATTCCCCCTAGGAAACAATAGCTCAGGAGATTCAGTCTGGAAAGTGCTTGTTCAGATAGTTTGGCTTTTCTTCAGGGATAATGCCAAACCTTCCATGACACACTCGAAGGAATTCAAATTGACTTGGCCTTCTGCAGAATCGCTTTTCCTAAGCTGTCCTGTGTACCACGTTCCTTGTTCTCTATAAGCAGCTGCCTTACAAAGCCAGTGCCTGCATTGGTTGCAGGGATGCTGTTGAGAACATTATTCATACAGTGTCAATGAAGCCTCATCGAGAAATTTCAGTGAGAACTAAGTGCTGGGAAAAGGCACATTGTCTCGGAGGAAACCTTATTTTTTCTTATTCTAGTATAAGAGCTACAGGTGGCTTTTCATTCAGGTTACCAGCAAGCTCAGAAACAATTACTGCCCCTGTCTAAGACCCTTAAGAACCAAGGGCAGTCTGTATTTCTCTCCATCCTTGACCTCTGATTTCAACTTGTACTTTCCCAGGTCCTTAAGTTTAAATCTGTAGGCGACTCGGTCGTGTATTTCCGTGAGTAGGTTCATCTCCTACGGGAATGAAGTGAGATATTTTCTAATAACTTTTGGGCAATCTGAAGTTCTCCTGTAGAGGTGAATCCAAGTTGAGAGGGATTCAGAAACTCAAAATTTGGAGTGGATGGACTAGAAGCCATGGTCTCAGCAGGAGATGTGCCTGTGGGAGTGAGCTGCTGGAGGGCAGCATCTCCCAGTGAATCTTGAGATGAAGTCTTGCTCTTGTTGCCCAGGCTGGAGTGCAATGGCACGATCTTGGCTCACTACAACCTCCGCCTCCCAGGTTCAAACGATTCTCCCGCCTCAGCCTCCCGAGTAGCTGGGATTACAGGTGCCTGCCACCATGCCCGGCTAATTTTTGCATTTTTAGTAGAGATGGGGTTTCACCATGTTGGCCAGGCTGGTCTCAAACTCCTGACCTCATGATCCACCCGCCTCAGCCTCCAAAAGTGCTGGGATTACAGGTGTGAGCCACTGTGCTGGGCCCTCCCACTGCATCTTTCTTTACAACAGCTAAGGGCAAGGGCCTGAGGACCTCCGGGAGGCTGAGGGGAGGGGGCCCGAGGATTTCTGGAGTCTCTGAGACCCTATTGTGGGTCATAGGGGTTTTTGAGGCCAAAACTCTTTTTACGATAATATTAAAATGTTATTTGCCTTTTTTTCGCTCTTATTCTCTCATGAGCACACAGTGGCATTTCCCAGAGAGGAGTTTCCATGACATATGCTGTCACAACAGAATGAACGCAGGAGTGGACATGAGCACCGGCCTGTCCTCTGTTAAACTAGACATTAAAGGGATCTGCAAGTGCGTCAAACAATGCCACTCTTCTCACAAAACAGTTTTGAAACTTTTTTCCATAAAAAATGCTATTTCTGTTAACATACTTTTTATCATTATTTAAAAATGAATGAATTAAACAAATGTTTTAAAATTTTCTGTTTTAATTTCTATTGTGGCAATTATAGATACAACCATATAAAGAAAAGCTCTCTGGGAATCCTCAATAAACTCTAGGAGTGTAAAGGTGAAATGTTGAGAATTGCTACTTCCAGAACACACTTGCTTACAAACGCCCTCCTTTGGGCTATAAAATAATTCTGTTCAAACAGGCTTTAAAATGTAGGCTAATTATTTGTTTTAGGGAACTCCTTTTTCCTAGCTGTGTATATTTCATGAATTTCACTTTTTTTTTTTTTTTGGAAAAGTAGGGAAAGTGCCTCTAAGTCAATTGCTGTTTTGTTTTTTGTTTGTTTGTTTTTTTGAGGCTGGCCTGGAACTCCCAACCTCAGGTGATCCACCCACCTAGGCCTCCCAAAGTGCTGGGATTACAGGCATGAGCCACCGTGCCTGGCCCCAATTTCTCTTTTTAACGAAGTGTGGGCCTCAAGCTCAAGCCTTCAGCAAGCCACAGTATCTCACTAGAATTTAATGAGGCTGTTTTGCACAACTAATGGATTCAGTAGTGGGTCCCTGCTACTGCTCTGTAGACTGGGGCTAAAAGGGTTTCGGTGCTAATGCAATGGTTCTCAAAGTATGGAACCCGAACCAGCAGCGTCACTTGGGAACTTGCTGAAAATGTAAATTCATGAGTTCTCATCTCAGATCCACTGAGTCAGAGACTCTGCGGGTGGGGCCCAGTAATACTCCTCACCCTCCCAGGTGATCCTGATGTTGTTAAATTTTGAGAGTCCCTGCTCTGCTTCTCTGTCAGGTTCATTCTTCCACCCAACCAACTGGCAACCTCCTCGGCCCAGCCGACCCCACGGGCCCAGTGCCTGTCCCCTCCTCCTACCATGTCCAGCTGCTTGTGGGTGTCCTCCAGTGCCACCTCAGTCACCTCCTTCAGGTGCTTGCTCACGATCTGGAAGAGGTTCAGCGTGGCCATCTTAATGGTGCCAAGCAGGAGGGTCTTCTTGGCTGCGGTGTTCTGGATGTGCGCCCAGCGAGATTCCTGGAGAGTGGATAAGGACGGGGCATGAGCACAGCATGTGGTGTGTGTGTGTTTGTGTGTATGTGTGTGTGTGTATGCTCAGGGCCCGCACTCACCCAGTGCCTGGGAGCCCCCGGCCCGCCCCGGGCCCCTCACCCAGAAGATGACATTGCTGCGGGCACGGTCAAAGCGCATCTGCAGCCTTGCCAGCTCATTGTTTTGCTGCAGGATCTCATCATCCTTTTCCTCCATGTAGCGCGCCAGCCGGGCCTTGGCGCGCTCAATCTTCTCCTGGCCTTCCTGCGCAGACTGCATGAGGTCGTGGCGCATGCTCACCAGCGTCTTGTAGCGTGCAATCACCTCATGGATCTCCTCGAACTGTGGTCAGGGGCTCAGGTCAATGCACAGCCAGCCCCTGGGGCCTGAGGGAGCCACCCAGTCCTGCCAACCTCCAGCCTGGATGCCTGGACACCTGGACACCTGGGCAGGCAGGCCCTTGGCCAGGGTCACGGCCAGAGGCTGTGAGGGACACTGGGGTTCCGCTGCCTGCTTCTCCTGGGTTTGTACGGGCCACGGTCCATTTGTTGGGCAGGGGGATGCACAACTGGGCTAGGGATTTTCGACTTTAACTGCATGTGAGAATCACCTGTAGGGGCTTTAAAAAGGACACCTGCCAGTCTCCACCCCCAGAGATTCAGATGAATAAACAAGTCTTCTGTGGTCTCTGGCATCTGAATTTTGCAAAAGGTCCCCTGGTGGCTCTAGGCACAGCCAGGGTTGATAATCGCTGATGGAAGGCATTTTGCAATGTCTTCCAAGGCAAGAATTTCCTATTCAACAAGATTGTACCAGGAACCACTTACAAGCCAGGAGCTATGCTAAATGCTAGGGAAATAGCAGGAGTTAGGAAAACCAGATTCTGCTCTTAGGAAGCTTACAGCTTGGGGGGTGGCATGGAGGGAGGACAGACAGACAAGTAAACAGTCAGTTACAACAGCAAGATAAGCCCTATCTATGACTGGGGGATAGGGCTGGAGGGGACTCTGGGAAAGCCTTCACGTTGGTGATCTCTGGTATTTGTTCATTTACTGAGGGAGAAGCAGGGATAGAGAGGGTGCTGGTGGGGCAGGTGGCCTGCCAGACTCAGCTCACCTCCCCCAGCCTGGTCCAGAACCATGCCACTCTGGCCCTAACCCTCAGGTCCCACTCAGTGGAACAGAAGCCATGAAACCCACGCTCTTTAGAAGGCAGCATGAACACCAGTTCTGTGATACCAAGTTGCCTTCCTAGGGGCTTATCAAAGCATGCCTTTCAGCCGCCCAGGGGAAACTTCCCGAGCACCTTCTCCATCTCGTGACATCTCCAGTGATGGATGCGTGTCCTGGGAACTGCCCTGCTGGCCTTTCCCCAAATATGCCTCTTTGGGGAAGGGCCACCCAACCCAGCACGGAAAGAGGTAGGAACAGCCAGAAAAGGTTTCATGGGAGAAAGTGTGGCTGAAATGAGATGAGAGGTATATAAATAGAAGATAGCTAGCAAAAGCAGGTGTAGGGAGGTGAGGCAGTGCTACAGGTGAAGGAGACAGCCTGGGCAAAGATGAATGGAATAGGGGGTTGTATGTTCAGGATGCTGAAGGTAGCCTGAGTTCAAGATGGGGAGGGAGAGACTGAGAAGAAGAAGAAAGGAAGAAGAAAGCAGAAGAAGAAAGAAAGAGGGAAGGAGGAAGGAAGAAGAAGAAGAAGAAAGAGAGAGAGGGAGGGAGGGAGAAAGGAAGGAAAAGAAAAAAAGAAAAGAAGAGGGAGGGAGGAAGGAAGGGAAAGAAAAAAGAAAAGAAAAAGGAAAGAAAGAAAAAGAAAAAAAGAAAAGCAAGCAAGCAAGCGAGCTCAGTAAACCTTGGGAAGGAGTGTGGACTTTATCCATTGAAGGATTTTAAGAAACAGACAATTCACGTGTGCATTTCTGAAAGTTCATCTGGCACACAGTGCAACAGTGTACCACAGTTCAAATAAATGGACCACATCAGAGCTACTAGGAACACACCTCTAAACTTAATGCTGATGTCAAAAGGATTTAGGTGCCAAATCGAAGAGCCACCCACTGCCCAAAGATGAGATGATTTGAACATTAGTAAGAATAAGTGCAAAGGATTAAAACATATCAAATATGTTAAAAATCCATCAGTTCACAATGATACTAGAAACATTACAGGTCAGTGCTAGAGAACAAATTCATTATTCTGAAAACTAAATAAAGCATTTAACAAACTTTCTCTGCGAGACCCACATAGTAATCAAATGGTGGATGAAGGAAAGGATCTCTTTATGAAGTCCTTTTCTTTATGGTAGTATTCTAGCAAATAAATGAGGAAGGGTTGCTAGTGAGTGTCTTCCCCCGACCAGTGAGGAAACCAATATTCTGACTTCTATCAATAAAGATTAATTTTACCTGTTTTTAAACACATCAATGGAATCATACGATATAACCTCTTTTGTGTCTGGCTTAAGAAGCATACCAACTAAGGGCAGTGTGAGGACCTTATATGGACTCTCATTGGAACAAACCAACTGTACAAAAAGCATCCGTGCAATAATTTGTCTTAAAAGACAGGGTCTCACTCTATTGTTCAGGCTGGACTACAGTGGCATAAACACAGCTCACTGCAGCCCTGACCTCCTGGGCTCACGCAGTCCTCCTGCCTCAGCCTCCCAAGTAGATGGGACCACATGTGTGTGCCACCATTCCTGACTGATTTTTATTTTTTAATTTTTTGCAGATTTGGGGGGGGTCTCACTTTGTTGCCCAGGCTGGTCTTGAACTCCTGGGCTCAAGTGATCCTCCCACCTCAGCCTCCCAAAGCACTGAGATTACAGGCATGAGCCACCACGCTTGACCCATTTTGTGCAATAAATGATACTGATATTTGATGTTAAGGAATTACTATCAATTGTATAGTAGGTGTGACAATGGTGTAGTTATTTTAAAAAGAGCTCTCATCTCTTAGAGATACATACTGCAGAGAGACGCAAATGGATGAAAATATATTGTTTGCTTCAAAATGGCAGAGGTGGGAAAGTGTGGGGGATGTGACTATGAATTAATCATTATTAGAATCAGGTAATGAGCAACAGGTGTTCAATAGACTATTGTCTTTACTTTTGTGTATGCTTAAAAAATTCCGTATAAAAAGTTACAAAACATTAAATGTGACAAAATAATAAGCATGATTTGAGATTTTTTTTTTTTTTTTTTTGAGACGGAGTCTAGCTCTGTCACCCAGGCTGGAGTGCAATGGCATGATCTTGGCTCACTGCAACCTCTGCCTCCCGGGTTCAAGCAATTCTCCTGCCTCAGCCTCCGGAGTAGCTGAGATTACAGGCACCCGCCATCACGCCCAGCTAATTTTTGTATTTTTAGTAGAGACAGGGTTTCACCGTGTTGGCCAGGGTGGTCTCGAACTCCTGACCTCGTGATCTGCCCACCTCGGCCTCCCCAAAGTGCTGGGATTACAAGCGTGAGCCACCGCACCTGGCTATTTGAGAATTTTTGAAAGCAGAATACTCAAATAAAAAGTTACAAAACGTTAAATGTTACAAAATGTTACAAAATAATAAAAAGCATGACTTGAGAATTTTTAAAAGCAGGATACTCGTGATGTCTGAGGACAGGTGAAGAAACATAAGATTTGGAAGGACACAAAGGAGTTCATTTACTGGATTTCAATTATCGGTAGTGTTTGATTTAAGACAAAAGAACTGGGGGCAGATGGGGAAAATACGAAGATTTAGCAAAGCTGTGTGATGAGTACTTGGTTGCTGTTATGTGTGTCTCTATACTTTCCAGTATTCTTAAAGTATTTTGAACAAAATAAAGAAGAAAAAAGAGAAAGAGAGGGGGGCTGGGGGAATGCTGAACAGGCTGGCCAGGAACGACGCCAGAGTTGAACTCCAGACGAGGTACCACTGGTGGCCTGGATGAGGAAGGGGCAGGGGCTGGATTCCAGAAATACTTCCAAGGCAGAACAGACCAGATCTGCTGATTGATAGCTGTGGCACTGAGCAGGAGGGAGGAGCCAAGGAGGCCTGAGTTCTGGCGGGGCTGTGAGTGGGTGGTCCTGCCTTTCACCAGCACAGGTCGTCGCGCCAGCGGCAGGGCTGTCCTGGGGGTGGCAGGAAGCAGATGAGATGAGTGTGCATGGGATGAATTAAATATGGGGGTCTCAAGCTTAGGAGGGAGAGACAGGCCAATTTCCTCCATTCTAAGATATATATTTTCCCAACTCTGAATTCAAGACACATCTTACAATTTTTTTTTGGTTTGTTTGTTTTTGAGACGGAGTTTCGCTCTTGTCGCCCAGGCTGGAGTGCAATGGTGCAACCTCGGCTCACTGCAACCTCCGCCTCCTGGGTTCAAGCAATTCTCCTGCCTCAGCCTTCCGAGTAGCTGGGATTACAGGTGCTTGCCATCACGGCCAGCTAGTTTTTGTATTTTTAGTAGAGACGGGGTTTCACCATGTTGGCCACACTGGTGTTGAACTCCTGACCTCAGGTGATCCACCTACCTCGGCCTCCCAAAGTGCTGGGATTACAGGCGTGAGCCACCGTACCTGGCCACATCTTGTAATTCATCTGCAGTTTTAATCTGGTAGTCCCTCCTTACTTCCTGCCCCCCCAACAAACCCCAACTATGAAATGAACCACTGACCTTATAGTACGTAGCACCTTTGAGTGGAGGAAATAATGCAGAGGTGGGACTCATGCATGAGTAAATTAGGTTAGTGGTTTGATATGGAAATTGTGGGACCTTTAAACAGTTGTGCATCCTGTCGCCCCTTCCCTCAGAGGACATGGATCCACACCCCTGGAGGAGGTGCCTCCATCTGCCCTAGTGAGGGGATCTTCTGGCTGTTGGTCACATGGGGGAGGAGATAATGTGACATGGGTGGCATCCATGGGAGGCCCTGGACATTGCTAAGAAGAAAAGTGGAGGATCGCTCACGCCTGTAATTCCAGCACTTTGGGAGCCCAAGGCAGGCGGATCACGAGGTCAGGAGTTCGAGACCAGCCTGACCAACATGGTGAAACCCATCTCTACTAAAAATACAAAAATTAGCTGGGCGTGATGGCGGGTGCCTATAATCCCAGCTACTCGGGAGGCTGAGGCGGGAGAATCACTTGAAAACCGGAAGGTGGAGGTTGCAGTGAGCCGAGATCAAGCCACTGCACTCCAGGCTGGGCAACAAAAGTGAAACTCCGTCTCAAAAAAAAAAAAAAAAAAAAAAGTGGAGGATCTGAGACAGAGAACCTGGACCCACCACACAAGAAGGAGCTGGGAAGAGGCGCCCCCGCCGGAGGAGCCTGAGAAGGAGAGGTCAGAGGTAGGAGAGAGAGGGAGGTGCCACTGAGTTGAGGGCAGAGGGGGGTTTCCGGGAGGGGCATCGGCAGTGTCAGACGCTGCCCCCAAGAGGCGCGGTGGAACCAAGAAGTTCCCTGGGCTCCGGCTACAGGGACTGCAGGGAGAGCCCTCATCAATGGCACTGTGGGGCCCACTGAGGAGTGGCTAAAAGCAAAGGCTCTCCCCACTGACGAGCTGCGAGACTCTGAACAGGTGACTTAACCTCTCGGAGCCTCCATTTCCTTCTCTGTAAAAGGCTGATCAGCTTGGGTTCACCCTGGGGCTCACCAGCGAACTGAATGAAGTTACCCGTGTGAAGCACCAACCCCGGGGCCCAGCACATACAAAGCACCCTAGTTCTGCAGGAGGTTGGGTGTTTTTCCAACTCCTCTCCCTTCCTCTCCCCAATTTACTCTCCAGTAAACAGAAGACACTGAGAGGAGGGGATGCAGGGATAGAGGGAGGCCACGTGCTGACACACACCCACACACACACCCCTTTAGACAGACGCAGCCATGGACACACATGCAGACATAGACACGCAACTCATGCAAGATACATACACAGTTGTGGCTCACACAGACACACAAAGACACACCACTAGGCCCCACCCCTTGAGAAACTCATCCAGCCTCACCAGAGGCTTCTTTTAGCTGCTCCCCAGTGCCCCCCAGGGCTGGGTGCATCTCCTCGGAGCAGGGTGCCCATCCTGCAGAGCTCCTGGGGCCCAGAGGGTCCACAGTCCCCAGCCAGCTGAGCCTGAATTCCATCCCATGGCCCCAGGCCCCGGGGAAGAGAGGTGGGGCTGAGGAAGGTGCCAGGGCCGGCCCCCCTGCTCCTTGGACTCACCTCGGAGTTCTCCACCACCTTCTCTAGGTACTTGTTGAAGATGTAGTAGTCCTTCAGCTTGGCGCTCAGCCGCTGGTGCTCCAGCCGCAGCGCCACCATCTCCTGCTTGCGCTTGGTCAGCTCCTGCATGTGCTGGCACTTGAGTTCTCGCTCCTTGTTGGCTTTCTTCATGGCGCGGATCCGTTTCTGGTCGTTCTCCTGGGGCCCGGGGAGGTGGCGCTGGTCAGGAAGCCTCGCCCAGCCCTCCCGGGGCCCAGGCCTTCCTGGGGCTGGTGGTGCCCTCAGACCCCTCTGTCTGCACAAACCATCCTGGCAACAGGCAGAGATTGCTGGGCCACCCATGGGGCAGAAGAGGGGTGAAGGAAAAGGCTCTCCAGGGGTATTTGAAGCTGGCTGAAGAGATTTCTGTGGACTGAGGTGGGGGCTCAGGGGGCTGTGAGGACAGAGGTTTAATCCAAAGTCGAGAGGTGGCCCTGGGGCTGGAGGGGCAGACAGGAAATGGTTCTTTCCTGTGGGACTTGGGCTCTGGACTTCAGAGAGTGGACTGGGGAAGACCTACATTGCACTGGGCTCACGGTCTGGAAGAACTCAACCCGCCGAGAAGACTGAGAAAAGTCCAGAAGTGGGAGCAAGAACCCTCCTGACAAAGCTTCTGTGGTTTCTGTTCTTAGTGGTGGCCATTTTCCATGGAGCAGAAGGACCACTCCCGGACCAGAGCTGGGAGGCGAGAATTTTCTCCCAATTCAGTACTCGGTGCTTCCATTTTCCCAGCTGTGGAGATGGGAGGCAGGAGCCCCTCTCCCTTTCAGAAGCTGGGGCAACAGGGCTGGAGCTCCAGGAAGATGAGAGAGGAGATGTGCCTGGTGCCATAGGGCCTGGGGGGTAAGGCCACTGGGAGAGCATGCTCCTAGGAGCTCAGACTGGCATCCCGCTGAGGGAGGAGATGGAACAGGCAGTTCAATGCCCAGAGGACAGAACGAGGCTCAGTTACCGCAATCAGTCCAATCCTGCCTCTTCCTTCTGCAGAGCCCTCCCCTAAGATTAGGGGCAAGCCCACCCCTCGCCCTGTGTGGCTCCTTTCTCCCTTCAGGGGCTCCTGTGATTCCACATAGACAGGCGTATGTGGTGGTGGCACTTGGAGGCCACTGAGGAAGGTGCATGCAGGATCTGTATGCTGCCCTGTAAGCCCAGGACAGGACTGAGGGAGTCTAAACCAGTGACTTTCAAATCCACCTGGTCATCAGAACTGCCTGGGGAACTTTTTTAAAAATATACAAGCCTGGGCCCAACCTCAGACGTGCTGAAAGCAACAAGGGAAGCCCCTGGGGTCTGTATTTGTAGCAAACTCTCTGGGAATTGAAGCTACTGACCCTCTGAGAGCCATTTGGAGAATGCCTCACGCCCAAATCTCTTCTGCCCCAACCACTCCATAAGTGTTTCTCTGGCTGCTAAGAAGAACTGGACCTCTGGAGAATGTGCCCAGTCCAAGGACTTCCTGTCCCACACGGCTTAGGCACAGAGCAGGAAGGAAGGTGCTTAAGAGCGGGGCTTCTTTGTGGCCGACGGCAATCATTACCCACTCCCGGAGCTGGACCAGGCCCTTCAGGGCTGCGTAAGTGCTACCTGGAGTGGGTCTGGATAAATCTGGATTTTTAAGACGATTAAAGTGCTCCACTAAAGACTGAAGTGAGAGAGGATGTCTTGGAATGGACTCTGGTGCCTGGTCCTTCAACCATCCCCTGCCTGGACCTTCAGTGCAAGGACAAGGATGGAGGGGTGGGGTGGGTGGAGGGACTAAAACTCTGTCTCATTCATCACTGTATTTCCCAAGTGTTTAGTCCTAACTGTAGCACCTTCATTCATTCATCCATGCATTCATTTACTGAATAAACTGTATGTCCTAGGTACTGGAAAAGAAATAGGAAACAGCCATCTAGAGGGAGCAGAGACTGATAGGTAAATGGAAAATTACAAACAGAGACAGGTGGGGGACATAAAGGACGCCTAGGGACATGCCAGGCAATGTTGGAGCACTAAGGATGCTTTTTAACTCAGGGCGAGGAGTCAGCAGAAGCAAGGAGGAGGAGTGCAGTTTGCCCACCTGCGGACTATGGATCCCCTGGCCACTGCGGCCGCCCACACCCCTTCAAACCTGGATGAACTGCTCAGACTTCTGGATGTGAGCCTTCAGTTGGGCTTCCTTAACGCCCAGTTCCTCCCAGCGCAGGTTCAGGGTTTCCATTCTGCGCTGAAACATCTTTGGGGTGGGGGTGGGAGAGCAGAGAGGTCAGGAGGGCTCCTGACATGAGTACCAAGGAAGACCCCAGCATCCCTGCCCCAGAGGCTCCATCCCCAGGCCCAAGAGGGTCCATAGGAGCCTCCCACTTTCTACCCCATGCCTGGCCCAGAGCAGAGCATCCCTGGACAGTGGTACCCCCAAGACCCAGATCCTTTCTGTTCTCCCCAAAGAGACCAGATCACCATAGAGGACTCCTGGCTCTAGCCACCCCACTCAGACAATGGAGGGCTGTCCACAGGCTCTCCCAGAGCCCCAGCCCACCCCCTTCCTTTCCTGCCCCTCTGCACTCCATCCCTGAGTCCCCACCTTCTTCTTCTGCACCATAGTTTGATGCATGATTTCTGTCTCCTTTTTCTTCTCCAGTAGCCAGATGGATGGGGACTCCGACGCCCCCTCAACATTGGGGAGTTTCCTGTCCAAGATGTGAACGCGAGAGGGCTGTGTGTTCTGACATGGGGTAGGCTGGGGCTGGGAGTAACCCGTGGAGACAGATACCCATGGGGAAGCAGAGGGGCCTCTCTCCCTTTCCGAGGGAAAGGGCTGTTGTGTTGAGAAGCATAGAGGGCCATGCAGGAGTGAGCAGGGGGAGGGTGACGGGGTGGAGACCAGCGTGATGAGGTGGACTGGTGCCAAGGTTATTTGGGGCACTGGGTTACAGGAGAGGAGGGGACAGACGGTTGGAAGATGAGGTATGGGGTGGGTGTGAGTGGTCCCAGGCACAGAGGGGTGGGCAAGCCAGGCCTCAGACACTCACTGGAGCATCTGCAGCAGCCGCTCCCCATACTGCAGCCGGAAGTACTCGGCCAGGTCTTCCTCTTCCATGATGCCCAGACTCATGGTGGCAGTGACCTCACGGCCCAGGCAGCTGACTCTTCACAGTGAAATTGTGGGTAGCAGAGCCACAGGTGGCTCAGGGGTGGTGGCTGCACTCTTGTTTCTCCCTTCGGCCTACAGGGTCCCACAGATGATGGAGTTTGAGACTCCACAGAAGGTGGCTGGAGACAGGTTGGGCGGCTCAGGACGATGTGCTGGGGCAGTTATGGGAGATGTGGTTACCTAGCAACAGGCTGCCTGGTTCTGTGGCCGGCACGTGGAGTCCAGGCGCTGCCCTCTGCCCCCTGCCCCCTGCCCCCATTGGTCCTCCCCTTGCTGGGGTCCTGCTCTCTGCTCCTGCCCTTTGCCCTCAGGAACTTCTGGGAAGGCATTAGGCCTGGTTAGATGCTGGTTGCCATGGAGCCCAGGGCCAGAGGCAGTTTCTGGTGAGTGTGGCTGAGAAGGGGCATCGGGTGGAGGAGCGGCCTTGTGCGGGCGCCCTGCTCTTAGGGCCTCCCTGGGGTTCAGGTGTGGGTGAGGGTGAGGGAGGGGCCGGGCCTTGGTGAAGAAGAGCAGAGAAAGAAAGGAGGTGCTTAGCGGCGGCAGGGGTGGAGTCGCGAGGAGGCGCGAGGTTAGAAACCAGGCGGCGGGCCCAGCACGCGGTGGGGCCGGGTGGGGAAGGGGGGACGGGCGGGGGGTGCGCGGGGACAGGCACAGGAGGAGGGCCCAGGCCAGGCCCCTCAGAAGAAGAGACTCGGGGCCTGCGCCAGTTTTTTGTTTTGTTTTGGTTTTGGTTTTGGTTTTGGTTTTTTTTTGAGACGGAGTCTCGCTCTGTCGCCCAGGCTGGAGTGCAATGGCGGGATCTCAGCTCACTGCAACCTCTGCCTCCCGGGTTCAAGCGATTCTCTTGCCTCAGCCTCTCGAGTAGCTGGGACTACAAGCGCCTGCCACAACACCCGGCTAATTTTTGTACTTTTGGTAGAGATGGGGTTTCTCCATGTTGGCTAGGCTGGTCTCGAACTCCTGACCTCAGGTGATCCACCCGCCTCCGCCTCCCAAAGTGCCGGGATTACAGGCATGAGCCACCGCGCCCGGCCCTGCGCGTTTTTGTTTGCATAAACTTAAAACGGGAAGAAATGTCAAAACACGGTAACGGAAATGACCCTATTTAAAATGTTGACTCCGTGGTGGCCGCCTTCCTTGATCCCGTCAGGCTGCGTGCATTAACTCATCTGGCTGGAGGTCGGACGTCTTCGCGTGGGACGGCGGGTGTGCGGAGGGCGCCCTGGGGTCTCCGGCTGGACTCTGGCCGGGACCTTGAGCTCGCTCCCGCCAGGCGCAGGCTCCCTCTTCTCTCTGCCTCCCTCCCTCCCACGCCCGCTACTGCCGCCACGCCCGCCACACCGCCCGTTCCGCTTCTCTCTGTCTGGGAGGGGGAGCGGGGTGGGGTGCGTGGGTTGTGGTGGGCTAGGGGTCTCGGGCGGGGGCGTGTCCCGAGCGCGGCCAGTCCGCCCCGCCGCATTGCCGGTCGTCTGGCGCCCCCTGCTGGCCGTCTGCCGCGCCCTCCATCCCGGCCCACCCCAGCCCTGCTCCCCTCCCACGCTCCGCCGGAGCCTCCCCTCCAGAGCGGACCATCACACACACCTGTCGCTTCCACCTAGTCCGGTGGGCTCAGCAGAGAAAGCAAGACAGTCCCTACCCCACGCAGAACACACCCACACAATGGCCACCCCAACCCTAAACAAGAGGTGGTTCTCCACCGGAGCCCCGGAGGAACACGCCCAGCAGGGCGACAATAAGACCGCCAAGAACGATTCAAGCTCCTCGGAGGGGCATGTTTCCTTGTTTATCCACAGAGGCTGGCACAGTCAATCTGGGCTTCCCCTCCCTTTCTTTAAGGTCGTGCCTAGGAGCTGTGCAACGCCAGCCCTTGAGGAGGAAGCCATCTGTTTCTGGAATCACCCTCCCCGCCACGTATATGAGACATATCCTTGATTGTCCGTGAAATCAGGTGGTCCAGGGCCAGGTTGGTCCATAGAGGTAGGTGTAAGACATCCTCTGCTCCTGCCCAAGGGTCTCCTCGTATCTGGAAGCTCTTTCTGCTGCTTGGTTTGGTACCTATCATGGGAGTTTTCGTGATCCTTGCACACCACCATCCCTCTCTGGAGTCTCACTGCCCTCCCAGGGACCCTGAGCAAGACGCAGGGCTGTCTCGGATTTACAGAGGTCTGTCCTATCCCCATCTTTTCCCTTCCCTTCCCTTCCCTTCCCTTCCCTTCCCTTCCCTTCCCTCCCCTCCCCTCTCCTGAGGATATAAAATAACTGAATAGACTTACAAAATGTCTAAATGATGGTTCAGTATGGTAAAGCTGTAAATTCCATCCAAATGAATTTAGGAATTTAATGCGATTGCAATCAAAATTTCAGAGAGTTTTTTTCCCCATAGATGTTGACAAAACAATGTAAAAGTTCATCTAGAGAACTGAGTACTTAAGGAACTATCACAAAAGAAGAATGAGAGGGAATGTCCACTGCCAGACACCAAAATGTGTTCTAAGGTGAAAGTGTTAAAACAGCATGTTGCTAGTGCCACTCCAGGCAAAATCCTCAAGTGCTCTAAGGGCTTGGGCAAGTACCTTGCTCTAAGATAGCCCTGACTTTGTGAGCTGCCTAAAGGCATGAAAATTCACAATATTCAAACACACTTCTGACAAAAACCAAAACAAGATCAAAAACACATCTGGAGCCCTGAAATGGGGTACAGGGACCCAGTTTATGATCCTTGACACAATAAACAGAATAGAAAATCCAGAAAGAGTCTCAAGTTTCTATAGGAATGCATTATATGCTATTACGGCATATCCCAGTGGGGAAAGTATAGATTATGCCACAAATGGTGCTGGGATAACTAGCTAATTATTTGGAAAAAAGAAACACATATAGAAATCAAATTCCAGATGGGTTTATTTAAATGGGAAATTAAATGTTCAATGTGAAAATTCATTATGTAGCAGGATATTCAATGGGAATGATACTTTTTTGGTTTTTTTGCCAATGGTGAGAGACCTGCCAGAACACAGCCTTGATCTCGCAAGTCATATGTGAGTCTCTGAAGACTTTACAAGTCTAATTTACAAGTTTAAATTCCAACCCAAAGCGTAGAGAGTCTTCATTTCCCTGCATCCTCACTGCTGTGAACTGAATCTGTGTGCCCCCTCAAAATTCATATGTTGAAACCCTGTCTTAGTCCGTTTTCATGCTGCTGATAAAGACATCCAAGTCTGAAAAGAAAAAGAGGTTTAATTGGACTTACAGTTCCACATGGCTGGGAGGCCTGAGTCATGGCGGGAGGTGACAGGCACTTCTTACATGGTGGTGGCAGGAGAAAATGAAAGGGAAGCAAGAGTGGAAACTCCTGATAAACCCATCAGATCTGCTGAGACTTATTCACTATCAGGAGAATAGCACAGGAAAGACCAGCTGCCACAATTCAATTACCTCTGCCTGGGTCCCTCTCATGACATGTGGGAATTCTGGGAGATACAATTCAAGTTGAGATTTGCATGGGGACACAGACAAACCATATCAAACCCTAATCTCCAATATAATTGTACTTGGATATAGAGCCTTTGGGATGTATTAGCTCCTAAGGGTGGTACCCTCATGATAGCTTTAGTGCCCTTTTAACAAAAGAGACAGCTTGCTTTCTCTCTCTTTGCTCTCTGCCATGTGAGGGAGCAACAGGAAGACAGCCATCTGCAAACCAGCAAGCTGACTTTCAGCAGATGCTGCTTCTCCTGGCACCTTGATCTTGGACTTCCTGGCCTCTAGAACTATGAGAAAGAAATGTTTAAGATTTCCAGTCTGCAAACCAGCAAATGGGCCCTCACCAGACACTGCCTGTCCTGGCACCTTGATCTTGGACTTCTCAGCCTCCAGAAATGTGAGAAAGAAATGTTTTAAGTTTCCCAGTCTATGAGAATTTGTTAGAACAGAACAAACTGACTAAGACACTCACTAACATGGTATATTACCAATCTCTTAAATTTTGCCAGTCTGATAGGTGAAGTTACTCATCTTTATACAGCCATTTCTTCTTCTGTGAGTCTCCTGTTCATGTTTCATGCGCATTTTAAACATCAAGTTGCTTTGCATTTTTATTGATTTATAGAAGGTCTTTATGTATTCTGGAAAGTAATCCTGTATTTTTCATGCTTACTGCTACTCATCCTAATACTTTTGAGTGGATTGGTTGGACCCTCATTGGATGCAGCAAGGGACAGGAAGGCAACTCAGGCAGCAATCCATGGCAGGCTGACCAATAGCCAGTCACACAGGCAGATTCACCAAGTCAGCAGAAGAATTAGCTTTCCCTCCTTCTAGGCTTGGGATTCTCTAACAGCAGAGATGGCACTAAACAGGAGATGTGGGCAATATTTGGTCTGTTTACCCTGTGACTACATCATTGGCAGATAGATACAACAGACCTGCAGTCCCCAAGAATGTTTTGAATTTTTTTTTTTTTTGAGACAGGGTCCTGCTCTGTTGCCCAGGCTGGAGTGCAGTGGTATGATCACGGCTCATGCAGCCTCGACCTCCCAGGCCCAAGCAATCCTCCCACCTCAGCCTCCTGGGTAGCTGGGACTGCAGGTGTGCACCACCACACCTGGCTAAGTTTCGTATTTTTTTTTTTTGAGATGGAGTCTCGCTCTGTCACACCCAGGCTGGAGTGCAGTGGAGTGATCTAGGCTCACTGCCACCTCTACCTCCCAGGTTCAAGTGATTCTCCTGCCTCAGCCTCCTGAGTAGCTGGGACTACAGGCGCATGCCACTATGCCCGGCTAATTTTTTGTATTTTTTTTTGTAGAGACAGGGTTTCACCATGTCAGCCAGGATGGTTTCGATCTCCTGATCTTGTGATCTGCCCACCTCGGCCTCCCAAAGTGCTGGGATTACAGGCTTGAGCCACCGTGCCAGGCCCAGTTTTGTATTTTTATAGAGGTGTGTTTCGCCATGTTGCCCAGGCTGCTCTTGAACTTCTGGGCTCAAACCATCTGCCCACCTGGGCCTCCCAAAGTGCTGAAATGACAGGCATGAGCCACTGTGCCTGGCCATCCCAAGAATGTTTGGAGTGTTCAGGGTCAGTGCAGACTCTTGTTAACTCCCTAAGTTCATCCCATTATAAGTTCACCCCTGGACATTGCACAAACGCTTCTCAAATTCCTCCCAGATCTTACTTGCCTCATTTGCATGTGGTTTATGGTATTGGTGACACGAGGGTCCTAGAATGAAGGTAATCTGTAACAATAGCTTCACGGTTCCATGTGCTGGAATAGTAATTGCATTCTAGGCTCAGCCATGCTTGTGGTTACACAAACATCAACACTTTGCAACCTCCTACTCCTTATCTTGTGTGTCTGTCAAGCATCTCCTCAGAGTTCATTGACTTCAGTGATTTGATGTCTACTAACTAACCCGAGATACTTCCCTCCTGTCATAAATAGTTTTACTGTATGGGCCAAATGCAATGCAGTGTCTCACACCTGTAATCCTAGCACTTTGGGTGGCCGAGGGGGACGGACCACCTGAGGTCAAGAGTTGGAGACCAGCCCGGCCAACATGGTGAAATGGTGCCTCTACTAAAAATACAGAAATTAGCTGGGCGTGGTGGCAGGCGCCTTTAATCCCAGCTTCTCAGGAGGCTGAGACAAGAGAATTGCTTGAACTTGGGAGGTGGAGGTTGCAGTGAGCCGAGATTGAGCCACTGCATTTCAGCCTGGGGAATGGGACAAGATCCTTGTCTCAAATAAATAAATAAATAAATAAAATAAAATAAAATAAAGGGCCAGGGGAGGTGGCTTACGCCTGTAATCCCAGCACTTTGGGAGGCCGAGGCGGATGGCTCACGAGGTCGGGAGATCAAGACCATCCTGACTAACACGGTGAAACCCCGTTTCTGCTAAAAATACAAAAAATTAGCCGAGCATGGTGGCCTGTGCCTGTAGTCCCAGCTACTTGGGAGGCTGAGGCAGGAGAATGGCGTGAACACAGGAGGTGGAGCTTGCAGTGAGCTGAGATTGCGCCACTGCACTCCAGCCTGGGTGACAGAGCAAGACTCCATCTCAAAAACAAACAAACAAACAAACAAAAAGATTCAGCATTATTTTCCAGGGTTAATAGATTTGTTCAAATAACTAAAACCGCATTAAACAAAAATGTCATTGGACAACAAATAAGCAATCCAGACCAATATGGTCACAGTCGTTGTGAAGATGAGAAAACTTCATCTTTATTGCATTTTCCCAGGTAGCGCAGTGCACTGTCCTCTTTGAAACACACAGCTCCTGTCCTCCTTTCAAACACATGTCCTCTTTAAAGTAACATACAAACCTTTCAATACAAGCTAAAAAATTACGTCTGAATTCTCACAGTTCAATAACAAACAAACACTCAACATCAAATAAAAATTTATTTTTACAAGAATTTCGGGGAAATGCCACCTAGCTATAAATAGAATAGATATATTATGTAACTACTCTAGGTCATAACAGTGCTCCCTTCAGCAGCACATGTAATAACAGATAAAAAGATTTAAAAATAAAACATTTAGGATAAAAAGAATCCTCTCTTAAAAATGAAAACAGAATTATATCTATGTGTATATAACAGGTGTAACACCCATCACACAACTTCATAAGAACAGTGTCTTTTAAAAAATACTTGTATTTCTAAACTAGTTAAATAAATGTAGTAATAATGCCATGCCCATCATTTTCAAAATAAACAAATAAAATGTATAGTATATATTGGACATGTTAGTATATATGGAAGGCATGTTAAAAATCACAACTGAATTCTCACAATTCAGTAACAAACAGTAAACAGAAAATAAACATTTCTATTTGCAAGAATGTAGGGGAACTACCACCTAGCTATAAATATAATGGATATATTAGGTCAGTATCATAGATTACAAGAGTGCTCGCTTCAGGAGCACATTTAATAATAGATAAAACGATTTAAAGAGAAAACATTTACGATAAAAAGAATCCTCTCTTAAAAATGAAAACTAAATTATATTTATGTGTATATAACAACCGTCAGAGAACTCTATAGGAACAGCATGTTTTCAAAACTACAAAAACCCCAAACTATTTTAAATCAACCTAGTAATAATTCTATGGCCAACATTTGAAAAATAAACCAACAAAATGTACAGTATCTATTAAACTATCTCTTAAAATCCTATGGCAGTAATTTCATATTTTACAAAGAATTCCGTAACAATCTGAGTGCCTGCGCTGTGCCTTCAAATGCTCTGGACTGTGGCAACCAAGTCCATAGGAAACAGGAACTCCAGCTTCCAGCCCAGGGGAGGCTGGGATTCAGCAACGTGAAAAGGGAGGTTTTGCCGCAGGAAGGGGTGGAACCAGAAACACCCCTGGTTTCTCACTTTCCCTCCACTGACTCCTAGAAATACCTCCATGGCTCCTAGGAGGAAAACCTGGTCAATCTATTTTGCCCCTTCTAGAAGAGTCCAGCTTCTTCTAGATGATCTGCACAGGAGGCTCCTCTCTCCCTTCCTGGTGTCTGGCATTAGCGTCGCGATAAACTTCCTGCTGAAAATTCCCATCTCCCCTGGGCCCAGTGTTCTGGAAGTGAGAGAGAGGATGTCACACTTCAAGGAGGGAGATCTCTAGATAGGAAGGTTATTCCCATCCCACATCAATCCTAACTAGAGTTCAGAGCAATATATAAATCTGATTTTATCTCTAACCCTTTATTGTAAACCCTGATTCTGAACCATCATTTTTGATTCTGGTACTCACACTTTGGTGAGCTTGACTCCAAAAATCACTTAATATACCCAAGGTTAGCCCCAGTGATCTGCTTCATAGCAAGGACTTTGGGTGGCTCCACCCAGGGAGTAGAGCACCCTTGGAGGACGTGGCTTTGGACTTCATCACACTTGGGGCCCTTTATATTGCTTAAGATCTAAACTTTTAACCATGCTACAAACATGTCTAACACGACAACCTCAGGAACCAGCAGACCAGATTCCTAATCCCCAACCTTAATCTCTCATGTTTTAGTCTAATGCTTGGTCCTAAATGTGGTTAGCTGCACAAGATGTCAACCAAATCTTCACTGAATCCTTTCCTCAAATCAGTAACTCAAGTGTATCAACCATAATGAACCTCCCTGGACCTAGGTAGTATTCTCATTTTTGAGAAAGAGTGTCACTCTGTCGTCCCGGCTGGAGTGCAGTGGCAGAATCACAGCTCACTGCAGCCCCGACCTCCGGGGCTCTGGTGTTCCTTCCGCCTCAGGCTCCTGAGTAGTGGGGACTAGAGGCGCCCACCAGGACGCCCGGCTAATTTTTGTATTTTTGTGGAGACGGGGTGTCGCCATGTTGACCAGGCTTGAAGCTGGATCAAGCAGTTGAGTTCCTTGGATTTTCTTATAGATGAGAATATTCTGCCTTTACCCTGGAGGATACACACGTACCTTCCCTCAGGCCGATGACCTCAGGCCTCCATGTCCCCGGAGCTCTAGGAAATGAGGGTGCGATCTCGGGCCCACACCCAGTGCTCTGGGTCATAAGCCTGGATCTGGAAAAACACACACCACTTGAGAAGCCAGGGATTCCCCAGGAAGCCCCCTCTCTGCCCTCCTCCAGCCTCCAGTCCACCCCATCCCTCCCCACCCCCACCTCCTCATATGGCCCCACCTACCTCCTCCATCTCCTCTGGGGAAACCCACGTCCTCCAGCGCATGGAACAGAGGAGCTGGTATCGAAGCTTATGGAACAAGGGTCGCTGGGAGTAGTTCTTCCCGTAGAGGAAGGAGAAGATGTCTTGTTTCGGGGCCTGGTTGTCCTCCTCCATGTCACTGGCCAGGTAGCTGGGGAGAGAGATCAGGTTGCTGCTCAGGGGCCCCACCAGGAGGGACCCCTGCCTGAGGGCAGCCTCTCAGAGAGGAGGGCAGGGGACCTTCCTCAGCTCAGCACCAACAGCCGCCCTGCAGAGAGCCCTGCCTTCCTCAGGAGGCCCCGCTGGACAGAGACCTGCTAAGGGTGCCTCTCAAACCTTCAGGAAGGAGATGATCCAAGTGGTAGCTGGGAGTGGTGGCTCTTGCTTGGAATCCCAGCACTTTGGGAGTCCAGGCAGGAGGATCACTGGAGGCCAGGAGTTAGGGACCAGTCTGGGTAATATGGCAAGACCCCCTCTGAATTTAAAAACAACCCAAGTCTTATGCTAAGGATGTGTCCTGCCATCCTTATACAAGACAGATGACGTCACCTCATCCTAGTCCCCATCCCTGTTCCTCCCACACCCCCCTTCCTTGTCATGTATGCACACACCTGTCTTCCCCCGTGCATCATAAGTGCCCCCAAGGACAGGAACTGACTGGTGTGTTTCTGTAAATCATCTCTCACCTACCAAAAGGCCACTAGAGGGCTTTGTTTATCTTGGTGCATTAATTCAACAAGCATTGCTGTGAACTCTCCCTTCCCATCCTTCCTATTCCCTGGCACATATGATGAACTTCATAAGGTTTTGTTGAATAAATGAATACATGAATGAATGAAGGAAAGAAGGAAAGATTTATCTTATAGGCAAATGCCATATGAATTATTCCATAGAGTCAATATAACATGAGCACTTGCAAAATGAAAAGAATTGTGCTGAGTGTTTCAGGAATACTTTGATATTTTGGCTGATTGGGTGGCTCATGTCTATAATACCAGCACTCTGAGAGGCTGAGGTGAGAACCCAGGAGTTCCAGAACAGCCTGGGTGACATAGCAAAACGTCATCTCTACTAAAAATCATAAAAACTGGCTAGATGTGGTGGCATGCACCTGTAGTCCCAGCTACTCAGGAGGCTGAGGTGGGAGCTTCACTAGAGCCTAGGAGATGGAGGCTGCGGTGAGCTATGATCTGGCTACTGCACTCCAGCCTGAGGGACAGAGCAAGTCTCTGTCCGGTAAAGATAAAAACAAAAAACTTTGATATTTTGACAAGACCCTGCCTTCAACAGGGGTCTACTCTGATGGGTTTGGGGAAAAGGAGGGCAGATAAACGAATCCAAAATGTCACATTATCCTAGGATGTCACTAAAGTGCTGTGGGCGTGCAGAAGCTGGAAGATCAGGGGAGGCATTGCAAAGGCTGTGGGGTTGAACTGACTTTAAGGAATGGGTCATTCCCTTCAGATCCACATGTGTGCAGGACACCCAGACAGAAAACACAAAATCAAAATGGAGTGGAGGGCATTTGGAAGGAGTGGCGAAAGCAAACAAGGAAAGATGAAGATGGTGGGCAGGTTTGGTGGTAGAAGGACTGCAGAGAGGGTTGAATTAGCCCTGTGGACCCGGGCCTCCGTTTAGAGACAAATCAGCTAAGGAGGTTGTTCAGGTGGGCAGTGAAGGGGGGGTGGGAGCTGTGCTTTGGAAAGCTATTCAGGCAGCACTAGGAAGCCCCCTGGCTTGGGGCAGGACTCGCAGGAATGCCCAGCAGGGAGTATTTGATGATGGATCTGTGTTATGCGAGGACGACCTGAATTTCTGCCTCTGTCATGGGAACCTGGAGAAGGAGGATGGAAAATTGCATTTGGTGTTGATATGGGAAGGAGAGAGACGAGAGAACCAGAAATGGCTGCTTGCTTGGGGAGCAGGGTCGTGTCCACGGCTTTCCTTTCCCCTTAGGACGGGTTTATGTTTCCTTTTGTTTGATTCTACTATTTGTCAACTGCATTTGTGTTTGTTTTTAGAAAGAACAGACTAAGAACACCATAGTATAATCTTATCGTTTTTATATACAGAGTAAAGAGGAGAAGTAGGGTAAAAAAATAGATGGAAGGTTGGAATCCCACTTCGTCCACTGTCCCAGGGTGTTGGATATTGACAGATGGGAAGAAGCAAACTACTCACAGAGCCAGGAAGAAATGAATGCGTTGGTATTGCCACGAGAAGAGGCCGGCACGGCTAAAATACGCTATGACCATAGCCAGGAGATACTGATGGAGAGAAGGGAGTAGAGAGAGAGAAAGGTTGGTCACATCCTGGAAGAGGAAGATGGTGGAGAGAAGGGAACAGGGGCTGGGGCGCGGTTGTCTATCACAGAAGGAACCTCAGTGTTGGGTGACTATGCTCATTGGGGGCTTGCGGGTGGAGAGTGTTCAAAGTCAGCTGCAAATCCGGGAAGTCGGAGGGAGGGAGGTCTGTGATGCTCCCATGATGATGAGCTCCAGTGGGATCACTGGAGGGAGAGTGTCTAGGGCTGCTAATGTCAGGAGGGTCTTGGTGAGCTGGGGCAAAGGACTGTCCCAAAGATCTGAGAGGATAGGGGTCAGGAGTTTCAAGACTGGCCCAGGGCCTGGATTCCAAAGGACCCTGTGCAGAGGCAGGGGCCACCCATCAACTATGCAACAGGCTACCAGAGCCCCGAGGGAGATGCTGACAAATTATGAGAAGACCTAGAATAGCTGGGGGCGGTGACTCACGCCTGGAGTCCCAGCTATTGGAGAGGCCGAGGCGGGAGGATCACTTGAGCCCAGGAGGCTGAGGCTGCAGTGAGCTATGATGGCAACACTGCATTCCAGCCTGGGCAACAGAACGAGACCCTGTTTCTGAAAAAATAAAAATCAAAATGTGGGCGCCCAAGAGTATGGAATCAGCAGGTGGGAGATGGTAGAGGGAGAGAGGAGAGAAACTGTGGGTTTAGACGCTGCACCCTTCCCCAGGACGTGTGTTAAAGCAGGAACACAGTTGAGTGGAGAACAACCTTACCTTGTCTGACACCCTCAGGTCTTTGTCCCAGGCCAGGAATTTTTGAACGACAGGATCCCCTGTGAAAAGAGAGCCTGTGTCAGGGTGAGAAGTGGAACAGGGTTGCCGTGGGAGCAGCAGAGCAGAGAGGAGAACTGTGTCCCTCTGGGGGAAGTCTCAGGATTGTGGCCAAGGCTTAGGTGGATGGGAGAGGAGAGAAGGACTTTCACTGGGCAAGGAGGGAGGCTCCCGCTCTGAGATTCCCCTGAGGAGAGGCCGAAGGAGGCCTCTGGTGTCAGAGTCTACAGGATGAAGAGCTGTGAATAAGCCATGATGTCCTCCCATCAGACAGGAAGGGACCACTGCAGAAGTCATAATAGAATTCCCATCATTGCTTCCTGAGATAGTCACAGCTGGGTGTGCCCATGGCCTTGTTATCCCCCTCCACGGATGGAGACACTTAGGTTTAGAAAAGTCATCAAGAGACATAGAGTTTCAGAGGGTACAGCTGAAACCAAGCTTTCTTTTATCTTTTATTTTATTTTATTTTATTTATTTTATGACAGGGTCTTTCCTTGTCAACCAGGCTGGAGTGCAGTGGTGCAATCATAGCTCATTGCAACTTCAAACTCCTGAGTTCAAGAGATCCTCCCGCCTCAGCCTCCCAAAGCACCAAGATCTCAGGCATGAGCCACTGCACCTGGCCAGAAACCAAGCTTTCTTATTTCAAGTGCAGACCTTTATTAAGACTAGCCTAATCCTCTATCTCCTAAGCATCCTCCTCCTGCATGGAGCGCTCATCCCCCAGGAGGGCATATTCTTCTTATTGGGAAAGTGTGATTATTGAAAGATTCCACTTTTTTAAAAGAACAGGGTTGGAGGTGCTTTTTGGGGTATCCTCCTACCAAGGAGCCTGTTGAAGGCCTCGTGGTGCTCAGGGAGCACGGAGGATGCTCGCTTTCGCTTCAGCTTCATCTTGAGCCCACACAGCGTCTCCACCACCCAGGTGTCCTCGGGCTCAGGGGCGCGCTCCAACTCCAGCTCCTCCTCCAGCTCCTCCTCGGATTCGTCTGACCATTCGCTCTTCCTTTTCAGGCCAAGGGATTGAGGCTGGGGGCTGGGATCTATCCAAGGGGCTGAGTGAAGAAACCAGGCCATGGTGTCATGTTTCTGCCATTGATCACCTTAGACGCCCCGACCCAGGAACCTCAAACTACTCTTCCATCCTCCCAAGCCTCGCAGACTGTCAGCTTCTCCAAGCCATGTTTCCACCTTTCTCCTTTGCTGATCCCCATCTGCCTCTCCCTCACCTCCCCATTCTTCCGGCTCTCTGTCCTCAAAACATTTCCTCATCACAGATAAGAACTTTCAATTGGAGAAAAATGGAAACCTTCCCTTGAGCTCTGTCTGCTCTCTCTCTCTCTCTCTCTTTTTTTTTTTTTTGAGATGGAGTCTCCCTCTTGTTGCCCAGACCGGAGTGCAGTGGCACAATCTTGGTTCACTGCAACCTCCGCCTCCTGGGTTCAAATGATTCTCCTGCCTCAGCCTCTTGAGTAGCTGGGACTACAGGCACGCACCACCATGCCCAACTCACTTTTGTATTTTTGGTAGAGACAGGGTTTCATCGTGTTAACCAGGATGGTCTCGATCTTCTGACCTCGTGATCCGTCCGCCTCGGCCTTCCTCTCTCATCTTTTGAGCACATCTCCTGACCCCCTTCATTGCTCCCCAGACTTTCTTTACACGTGGCCATGCTTGGCCCCATTCCCTGCACCCTCCTTCCCCGATCCCTGGCTTCCTGAGTCCGTCGTTTCTTTCCCACACACCCTACTCAGGTGCTTCAGATTCCCAGTAACTGGCCCCCTTCCCTCTCCTCAGTCAATCATCTCCCATCGCTTCTCCCTCCAGTCACCTCACCTGATGGTCCTGGCACTTCATCATCCACCACCACCTCGGGGGACCGTACCGTTGTGCTAGGCTGGGGGCTCTCCTCCTCAAACGGGGGGCGCGCTTGACCACTGGCCATAATCTCTCCCAAACACTTTGTTTCTGTCCACAAAACCTAGTCCCTGTTCTGTCCAAAGCCTTCTTCCAGACTCCGTTAGGACCCAGAAGAGTGCGTTTCTCTTCTAGAGGCTCGGGAGAAGTTAGGAGTGAAGAGTAGTTCTGAGAAGTTGCTGTTGTCCACCTGAACTCCCAAGCAACCAGAGTCCGGTCCTTCCAATCAGGAAAGTCGGAATCTCTGATGTCATCGGTCATTCCAAACTGGCAACTACTTTGAAGAAAAACACATGTAACTGCCAGACTGATCTCTTTTCTTGGAGATCCGGGGTGAACGGTATCTCCTGGCAATGTCCCAACCTCTGAGCATTGTCCAAAAGCATCCTCAGGGTCTCCACATTCCTCTTTTCCCTGTCCCAGCAGAGGCTGTGTCCTCTCCACTCTAAACTTGAGGGGGTGTTGGGCTCTCCTCCCCGCTTCTCCTTCCCATTTCAGAGTCTAGTCTGGTGAGAGAGGGAGGAAGGTGGAAGGAAATTTAGGGTAAGCAGAATGATGAGTCCTTCCAAGAGTGAGATTAACATATACAGGAGATCCTGGGTAAATTGACTTGTTGAATGGAGACGTTACGTCGAAGTACTCAATGTGGCAAAGCTTTTTTGCTGAATGTTTACTGATATTCACTATCCTGGATCCTATAGTAGGGGAACATGCATCCTTTGCTCTCAGGCATCTTTGAGTCCAAGAGACATTTTGAGGAATGAAAATCACAGGAGACTGTCCATGGTTTCGTACAGATTTTCAATGGTGTCCACAAGTTCAGGGCATCCATGGATCACCTAAAGCCTGCCCTCCAGTTCAGCTAAGGAACTCTGGTCTATATATCAACTATTACAACATATCTATTTCACTTGACCCCAAAATTTGCCTACTATTTATGTATTTTATGAATAAAATATCCTGTGTATAAAAAGACTAAGGGGAAAATCTCAGCCAGGCCCAGGGGCTCCTGCTCATAATCTCCCTCCTTTGGGAGGCCAAGGCAGGGCGTCACTTGAGGTTAGGAGTTCAAGATTAGTCTGGGCAACATAGCAAAACGTCATCTCTACAAAATATAAACAAAGTAATCAGGAATCGTGGCACACACCTGTGGTCCCAGTACTTGGGAGGCTGAGGCAGGAGGATTGCTTCAGCCCAAGTGTTTGAGGCTGCAGTGAGCTATGATTGCACCACTGCACACCAGCCTGGAGGACAGAGTGAGACTCAGTCTCAAAAATATTTTTTTCGGAAAAAATAAAAATGTAAGAGCTGGATACTATCTCAGATACCATCCAAAGAACCTGTGAGTTCTGGCACAGCTTCCTAATGGGCTCCTAGGAGTCTCTCGCTGATGGGAAAGGCACAACTGAATGAGGAGGCAGATCCCGTCGCTGTGGAAGTCCAATTGTTAGGAAACTCTGCTTACATTGAGTGGACCTTCGCATTCACGATGCTTTCAACCATCAGAACTGGTTGGATCCTTTTACAACAAAACAGAAAATCATCTTTCTCTCCTATTTAATAGGCTTTCAAACATTAGAAGATCAATATTCTGTTGCCATTAAAATTTCTCTTCTGTACCACGTAAAGTTCTGATTAATCACTCTTCAAGCCAGTTTTACATATTCCTCTGTCTTCTAGGCACCTTCTGTAGACAGGCTACAATAAGGCAGCCATCTTAAATTATGTCAATACATTGTCCAAAAATGAGCTAAACAGTTCAGGTTTCATCTGATATGTTCAGGGAAAAGCAAAACTATCACTTCTCCCCTTCTCTTTTCCTTCAGTGATGCAGGTTAATACAACAATGGCTGTAGCTATGCACCAAAGATATCATTAGAGTGAAACAGAAGGGCTTTATTGGCTGGCATGGTGGCTCCTGCCTGTCATCCCTACACTTTGGGAGGCCAAGGCTGGAGAATCACTTGAACCCAGGAGTTGGAGATGAGTCTGAGTAACGTTGTGAGACTCCGTCTCTCCAAAAAAATTTAAAATTAGCCTGGTGTGGTGGCACACACCTGTAGTCCCAGCTAGTTCGGAGGCTGAGTTTGGAGGAGAAGAAGTGCTTTGCAAATACCAGCCTTTCAGCCTAAGGATCTCAACTAGGAACATTAAGATACAGATGCCAGGACCCAGCCCCACAGATTCTAATTCCAAAGGACTGAGGTGGGGGCTGATTTAACTTCATCATTGGAGTCCATTCAGATTTGGAACTCTCTGGGTGGGGCAGCGCAATAGAGATCCCAAAGAAAGCAAAATCACTCTCGAATGAAATGAGCAGGAAAGATTTTTTGAGCGAGGTAAGTAAGACCTGGGCCTCACATGGGAGGGCTGTCACCAGGCTTTGTATCCTTGGCTTAGTGGGAACTTTTGAAGCAGCCTCCAAGGCCCCTGTATGCTGGTCGACAAGCCCCCTAACATTGGCTCACAACTGTAATTCCAGCACTTTGGGAGGCCAAGGCAGGAGGATTGCTTGAGCGCAGCAGTGCAAGACCAGCCTGGGCAACTTGGCGAAACCCTGTCTCCACCAAAGTATAAAAAACTAGCCTGGGTGTGGTGGCGCATGCCTGTACTGCCAGCTACTCAGGAGGTTGAAGTGGGAGGATCATTTGAGCCTGGGAGGCGAAGGCTGCAGTGAGGCGAGTTAACGCCACTGCACTCAAGCCTGGGTGACAGAGTGAGACTGCATCTCAATTAAAAGAAGAAACACTAAAAATTTTCACTGAGAATATAAAAGAACTGAATAGAGACTTACAAAATGTCTAAATGATGTTTCAATATGGTAAAACTGTACATTCAATCCAAATGAATTTAGGAATTTAATGCGATTGCAATCAGAATCTCAAAGAGTTTTTCCCCCCGCAGATGTTGACAGAACAATGTAAAAGTTTATCTAGAGAATTGAGTACTTAAGGAACCATCACAAAAGAAGAATGAGAGGGAATGTCCACTGCCAGACACCAAAATGTGTTCTAAGGTGAAAGTGTTAAAACAGCATGTTGCTAGTGTCACTCCGGCAAAATCCTCAAGTGCTCTAAGAGCTTGGGCAAGTATCTTGCTCTAAGATAGCCCTGACTTTGTGAGCTGCCTAAAGGCATGAAAATCCACAATTTTCAAAGACACTTCTGACCAAAACCAAAACAAGACCAAACACAAATCTGGATCTGGAGGCCTGAAACGGGTTACAGGGTCCCAGTTTATGATCCTTGATACAATCAAGAGAATAGAAAGTTCAGAATAAACCCAAGTTTCTATAGGAATGCATTAAATGCTGTCATGGCATATCCCAGTGGGGAAAGTAGAGATTAAGCCACAAATCATGCGATCACAACTAGCTCATTATTTGGAAAACAGACATATACAAATCAAATTCCAGGTGGATTTATTTAAATGGGAAATTAAATGTTCAATGTGAAAATTCATTCTGTAGCAGGATATCCAATGGAAAGGATACTTTTCTGTTTTTTGCCACTGGTGAGAGAGCTGCCAGAACACAGCCTTCATCCTCAGAAGTCACAAGGCTCACACATCATATCTGAGCCTCTGAAGACTTTACCAGTCTAATTCACAAGTTTAAATTCCAACCCAAAATGTAGAGTCTTCATTTCCCTGCTCCTCAGTGCTGTGAACTGAATCTGTGCCCCCAAAATTCATATGTTGAAACCCTATATTAGTCCGTTTTCACGCTGCTGATAAACACATACCCAAGACTAGGAAGAGAAAGAGGTTTAAATTGGACCCACAGTTCCACATGCCTGGGGAGGTTTCAGAATCATGGCAGGAGGTGAAAGGCACTTCTTACGTGGCGGCGGCAAGAGAAAATGAAAGGGAAGCAAAAGCGGAAACCCCTGATAAACCCTTCAGATCTCCTGAGACTTATTCACTATCAGGAGAATAGCATGGGAAAGACCGGCCCCCACGACTCAGTTACCTCCCCCTGGGTCCCTCCCATGACATGTGGGAATTTTGTGAGATACAATTCAAGTTGAGATTAGAATGGGAACACAGAAAAACCATATCAAACCGTAATCTCCAACGTAATGGTACTTGGATATTCAGCCTTTGGGAGGTAATTAGCTCCTAAGGGTGGTGTCCTCACGATGGGTTTAGTGCCCTCTCTCTTAGAAAAGAAAGAGCTTGCTTTCTCTCTCTTTGCTGTCTGCCATGTGAGGGAGCAATAGGATGACAGCCATCTGCAAACCAGCAAGCTGAACTTCAGCAGACACTGCCTCTCCAGGCACCCTGATCTTGGACTTCCCAGCCTCCAGAACTGTGAGAAAGAAATGTTTAAGATTCCCAGTCTATGGTAATTTGTTAGAGCAGCCCAGACTGACTAAGACACTCACCAATATAGTATGTTATCAATCTCTTAAACTTTTGCCAGTCTGATAGGTGAACTTATACATCTGTATACAGCCATTTTTTCTTCGGTATCTTATTCACATTTGATGCATATTTTAAAAATCAAGTTGCTTTGCATTTTTATTGATTTATAGAAGACCTTTCTGTGTTCTCGAATGTAATCCTATATTTTTGATGCTCACTTCTATTCATCCTAATACTTTTGAATGGATTGATTGGACCGTCATTGGATGCAGCAAGTGACAGGGAAGGCAATCAATGCAGCAATCCATGGCAGGCTGACCAATAGCGAGGTGCCCAGGCTGATTCACCAAGTCAACAGAAGAATTAGCTTTCTCTCCTTCTAAGCTTGGGATTCTCTAAAAGCAGAGATGGTACTAAACAGGAGAGGTGGGGCAATATTTGGTTTGTTTACCCTGTGACTACATCATTGGGAGATAGATACAACATATCTTCAGTCCCCCCTCCCCATTTTTTTTTTTTTTTTGAGACAGGGTCTTGCTCTGTTGCCCAGGCTGGAGTGCAGTGGTATGATCACAGCTCATGCAGCCTTGACCTCCCAGGCCCAAGCAATCCTCCCACCTCAGCCTCCTTAACAGCTGGGACTGCAGGTGTGCACCCCCACAACTGGCTAAGTTTTGTATTTTTATAGAGGTGTGGTTTCATCATGTTGCCCAGGCTGGTCTTGAACTCCTGGGCTCAAACCATCTGCCCACCTGGGCCTCCCAAAGTGCTGAGATGACAGGCATGAGCCACTGTGCCCGGCCATTCCAAGAATGTGTGGAGTGTTCAGGGTCAGTGCAGACTCTTGTTAACTCCCTAAGTTCATCCCATTATAAGTTTACCCCTGGACATTGCACAAACGCTTCTCAAATTCCTCCCAGATCTTACTTGCCTCATTTGTATGTGGTTTGTGGTATTAGTGACAGAAGGAAAGGTCCTAGAATGAAGGTAATCTGTAACAATACCTGCACGGTTCCATTTGCTTGAATACTAATCATGTTCTAGACTCAGCCATGCTTGTGGTTACACAAACATCAACACTTTGCAACCTCTTCCTCCTTATCTTGTGTGTCTGTCAAGTGTGTGTCCTCAGAGTTCACTGACTTCAGTAATTTGATTTATACTAACTAAACCAAACATACTTACCTCCTCCCATAAATAGTTTTACTCTATGGCCCAGATGCAGTGGCTAATGCCTGTAATCCCAGCACTTTGGGAGGCCGAGGCTGGTGGATCACCTGCAGAAGGGAGTTCGAGACCACCCTGGCCAACATAGTGAAATCCCATCTCTACTAAAAATACAAAAAAATTAGCTGGGTGTGGTGGCAGGTGCCTGTAATCCCAACTGCTTGGGAGGCTGGGGCCAAAGAATTGCTTGAATCTGGGAGGCGGAGGTTGCAGTGAGCCGAGATTGTGCCACTGCACTCCAGCTTGGGCGACAGAGTGAGACTCTGTCTCAGAAAAAAAAAACGTTTTCCTGTATGATGAACAATGTGCAACATATATATGCAGATATTTTCTGCCAGCCTGCTGTTTGTCTTTTAATTTTATGTTATCTTTTATCATAGAAATGTAAAATATATATATATATATTTTTGAGACAGAGTCTCACTCTGTCACCTAGGCCGGAGTGCAGTGGCACAATCTCGGCTCACTGCAACCTCCGCCACCCGAGTTCACACCATTCTCCTGCCTCAGCCTCCCAAGTAGCTGGGACTACAGTCGCCTGCCACCACGCCCAGCTAATTTTTTTGTATTTTTTAGTAAAGACCAGGTTTCACTGTGTTAGCCAGGATAGTCTCGATCTCCTGACCTCGTGATCTACCCGCCTTGGCCTCCCAAAGTGTTGGGATTACAGGCATGAGCCACTGCGCCTGGCCAGAAATGTAAAATATTTATCTAGCTGAATCTGTTGATCATTCTTTTTATCTTCCTGAGTTTTGTGTTTTCTTTAAAAAAGTCTCCTGCACTTAAAATTATATTTACATTTAGAATTGTATTTTTAAATGTTGTTTATTTTTAATTGTAGTAAAATATACATAACAACAAATTTGCCTTCTTAAGCATTTTTAACTGTACTGTTCAGTATTGTTAGGTATTATTCACATGATTGTGCCACCAATGTTTAGAACATTTTCAGCCGGGTGCAGTGGCTCACGCCTGTAATCCCAGCACTTTGGGAGGCTGAGGTGGGCGGATCACGAGGTCAGGAGATCAAGACCATCTTGGCTAACACGGTGAAACCCTGTCTCTACTGAAAATACAAAAAAATTAGCCGAGCGTGGTGGCGCGTGCCTGTAGTCCCAGCTACTTGGGAGGCTAAGGCAGGAGAATGGCGTGAACCCGGGAGGCGGAGGTTGCAGTGAGCCGAGATCGTGCCACTGCACTCCAGTCTGGGCAACGGAGCAAGACTCTGTCTCAAAAAAAAAAAAAATAATAAAGGAACATTTTCATCTTGTAAAACTGAAATTCCATTCCCACTAATGAATAACTTTCCATTTTGCTCTTCCCCTGGCCTCTGACAACTACCTTTCTACTTTCTGTCTCTATGAATTTGATTACTCTAGGTACTTCATATAAATGAAATCATACAGTGTTTGTCTTTTTATGACTGGCTTATTTCATTTAGCATAGTGTTTTCAGGGCTCATCATTGGGTAGCCTATGTCAGAATTCCCTTCCTTTTAAAGCTTGAATAATATCCCCTTCTATTAATACTATATTTTGTTTATCCATTCATCCATTGATGGACATTTGGGTTAATTCCACTTTTTGGCTATTGCAAATAATGCTGCTATGAATGTGGGTGTTTGAATATCTCTTTAAGACTCGGCTTCCATTTTATGGAGTGTATATATTTAGAAGTGGAATTGCTAGATCATATAGTAATTCTATTTTTAATTTCTTGAAGAAACCGTACTGTTTTCCACAGTGGCTGCACCATTTTACATTTTCACCAACAACGCACAAGGGTTCCAGTTTCTCCACATTCTCACCAACACTTGTTATTTCTGTTTTTTTTTAAATAGTAGCCATCCTGATGGATGCAAGGTGACATCTCATTGTAAAATTATGTTATTTTTTAATTACAAAGCTAATAAGTGACTACATTCTCATTATACATCATTCGAACAATAGAAATACATCTGGAGCCCTATTTGTCCACCACCGAATCCCGTTCCCAGAGGTGACCGTGCATTCAACAAATACTTATGTCGAGTATCTGTGATGGGCCTGATGCTCTTCTGGGCTAGGGATGCAGCAGTGAACAACACAAGCTCTTCACTGTTATGGAAGTGGGAGGAGGAAACAACCAATGAACAGTGACCATGGGTGGGGAGGTATGGGGAATTGAGATAAAGGAACCAGTCAGTGCCCACAGACACAAGTACCTCCCATAAAACCTTCTCACGGGGTTGCTGATCCTCCAGGCCTGTGGGCACAGGGCCTAGGCCCTATGAGCTTCTTGGGAGCCTATACCAGTGTTTCCAGCTTGAAAATAATCGCTGGCTCTAAAATGCAAAAAGGAAGCCACAAAATAAAGAATACATGTTTAATTAGATGCTTACAAATGTTAACACACCAGCTTCATGAATTGCTAACTTTAGCATTCATACAACATTTCACACATTTGAAAGTAATCTGTGGATTTAATTTCCTCACTTCCCGAGAATTCCCAATTATGCACAGATTTTTTGGGGAAAAAAGCTAAGCAAATTGTGAATTAAATGAGTTACTCAGACAAATAATTTCAAAAGCAAAATTAGAAAAATCTTTTTGCCTTTTTTTCCTCCCAAATTATTTTTAATGTCGATGAAAGTGAATTTTAATCTGTTTGTTATGGCAACGTTTAGGGCTTAGTTAAGTTTGCTGCAGGGTTAGGTTGTCTAAAGATGGCCCCAGTGGGTTTTCAATAATACAACGGTGCAAGGCCGGTGGCCTCCCTGAACCCAACCATCTTTTCATGGAATGATTCTATGATTCCATTTTGGCAGTTTGCTGAGGCTGAGGAAGACAGGACCCCTCAGAGGCAGTTTCAAGGGCCACTCTCAGGGAAAGGATGAGGCAGAACACTGGTTGTACTCATCTCACTGGGCAGTCATGCCTAAGTCTGGTCTTGGAGACCAGCCTCAAACCTCAGCCTGTGCTGTGGCTTGTCCCTGACATGTTAAATGGCCTCCTGTTCTGTTTTCATGACCAATTTCCCAATGCTGGGATTACTCAGAAGAGAACTCCCACTGGTCCAAACTAACAGCTCTGCTAGGCAGTAGCTGAAATAACGCCTTTCCTTCTGACCTTGAGTGTTCTGGAACTGTGGCTCTCTGCCTTCACCAGGAAGCTGACCGATGCTCTAGGTCCACATATGGAAGTGACTGCTAGTGACCTCTTCATCTAGAAAGACATAAGTGGGTAAAAGGAAGCTTCTTATGCTCTGCCCCAACTTATTCCATCCATTTTCTTTTTCTCCTTGCCCAGACCCCTTCAGCGAGGACAACTTTCTTTTATCTGAAGCATTTCAATAGTCATACTTCTCAGTCTTCAGACTTCAAATTTGATTCTCTTTTATTTATTTATTTATTTATTTATTTATTTTTTGAGACAGCATCTCATACTGTTGCCCAGGCTGGAGTACAAGTACAGTGACGCAATCATGGCTCATTACAGCCTCGACCTCCCTGGGTTCAGGTGATCCTCCCACCTCAGCCTCCCGAGTAGCTGGAACTACTGGGATACGCCACCACAAAAAAATTACAAATTTTTTTTGTATTTTTTGCAGAGGTGGGGTTTCGCCATGTTGCCCAAACTGGTCTTGAATTTGCAGCCTCAAGGAATCCTCTTGTCTCAGGCTTCCAAAATGCTAGGATTACAGGTATGAGCCACCTCGCCCGGCCCAAATTTGATTTATAAAAAGAAAATGTTGCCCCCGAACACATCCCTATGTAGTGGAAGTGTACAGAATAACAAATTTAGCATAATAGTTACCATCTCCTGGTGATGGTGGAGGGAAGGACATGGCACCGGGGAGGCTTACTATATATTGGTAATGAGTAATAGTTTAGATTGAGCTCTGGGGACATGGTGCTTATTATTATTATGTGTACCTTTTGCTATATATGCAATATTTAATAATAAATTAAAAAGAAAATACTACAATTGCTTATATGGTGGTTAATCATTTTTGTCATTCTTCAGTCTTGGAGATTCTCCTCCAAATCTCGTTTCAATCAGTCGTTTTCCCTTTCTTTTGTGAACCTCGACTAACATCCTTCACCTTCTTATTTCCTGAAACTTGATTGACATTCCACCTTCTAAATGTGACATCCATTCTTGCTAATAACTCTCTCTTGTTGGGTATTCCCCCACTTTGTCTCTTTATCTCCTTGGAAACTGTGTAGTCTTAAAATATTTCAATGTTCCTTACCTGCCACTTCTTCACTTACCACACAGAATCCCAGAATTGTGGAGCTAGAAACACCTGAGATCATCGACTCCAAGCTTTTCATGATAATAGAAGAAAAACAGTGGAGACTTGGAGATTAAACTTCATCTCCAGCAATGGCGAAGCTGGGAACTGAAATGAGGCTAACGTCAGGCTTCCTATGAGATTGTAACCAGGAAAGGGTCCTGTCCCTGGAGATGCTGCAGAAATGGGAGGGAGGTTGATCTCTGGAGGTTCCTCCAGAAGAGGAACAGATATTATGGATGGGGACTAGTGTGGGATACGATGAGGTTTCTCTTCAAAAAATCTGATCAATCTTTTATTCTTTAATTTATAGTAACCCCCCCCCCATTTTTCTCCCTTTTTCTGTTTTTTTCCTTCTTGCCTTTGTTAGATGCCCAGGCACGCCACAGTACCAGGTGTTATCAGTACCAGCTCACATTCCTTTCCTTATTTGGAAAGAGGACTAACTTTCTGGCTCATTACAGACACCCCTTCCCCTTTCCCTCCACTTTCTTTTACGTGCCCACCCTATCTAAAAAAAAACAATGTTTAGCCAACCGGGATTAGTTTACATTGTACAACCCGACCCCAGCCAATGGGGAAAGGGTACAGGGCAGGACTTGCGTCAGGAATAAAGGCTCTCGTGCCCCTTTGTTCAGGTGTGCTCTCACGGCAACTGGCCAAGGAGGCACCCCTCTGCACAGAAGTAAAATTGCTTTGCTAAGAATCCTTTTTTCGTGTGTTCAATTTCCTTAGGATTTTGAGCATTATTCCTAACAGTAGGGGATGTCAGACTGTTGATCTGTCGCCTTCGTTTTGCCCTGGCAAGACCCCGGCACACCCTGTTGCCACTGTATGGCAAAAAAACAGCATTAGTCCAGGGCCAACTTAATGCCAACTCGGAGCAGCGAGGTGAGAAGGGAGCAGTGTTACAGCAGATACAAGGGCCCTCCAGTGGGAGAAGGCTGACTACGCCCTCTTCCACAGGTGCTATAGACTGAATTGTGATCCCCCACCGCCACTCCCAAATTTGTATGTTGAAATCCTAATCCAATATGACTGTATTTGGAGACAGGGTCTTTAGGAGGTAATTAAGGCTATATGAGGTCATAAGGATTGGCCCTGATCTCATAGGATCAGTGTCTTTATGAGACACCGGAGAGCTTGCTTGCTCCCTCTCTCCGTGTTCACGCACAGAGGAAAGGCCATGTGAGCACACAGTGAGAAGGCAGCCATCTGAAACCCAAGGGAGAGCCCTCACCAGACACCGTTCCGGCCGGCACCTTCATCTTGGACTTCCCAGCCTCCAGAACAGTGAGAAATAAATGTCTGTTATGGAAGCCACCCAGTCTGTGGTATTTTGTTACAGCAGCCTGAGCAGATGAATATAATGGAACAGGCAGTTGCAACAGAGGGAGGCAGCCCTTGGAAAAGAATAATATCTGAGAAAGAGGCTCTGGAAGATTTGCTGAGGAAAAGTATTGCCTGATTTGGGGAGACAAAAGGGAAGTGGTTGGTTTCAGACTGCAACACCAGAGGCTCTCTCAGTCGACACATATGCATTGGCAGCCAATGTAGTTGGTAGTCCCAAGGACAAGAACTCACAAGGAAAAAGAACGGGATGTCTGAGGAGGGCAACGGTCATATGAAGGGCAACGGTCATATGAGAAAGATAAATGGAACAATCTGTATCAAAGGAAACAACCAATCAATTAATAGAATCGAAATTAAATTTGAAATAAGCATAACAAATGTGTTTAAAGACATGAGGGAAGGTATCAGAAATGTGAAGCGGAAGCAAGCCCAAATATTGTCGAACAAATTAGATGGACATCCTGAATGTGAAGACTGAATGAATTAAAGAACTCAATGGATACACTGAGTGGCAGGATGGATAAAGACAAAGAGCAATTAGCGAGTGGAAGACCACGTTAGCAACTCTCCTAGAGACATCAGGAAGAGATAAAGAATAAAAGCTAGGAAACAGGAGTGAGGTAAAAATGTAAGATTTAAGTAGTAAGATGAGTCTCATAAAAAGAAAATGGAGAAGGATGAAATAATCTGAATAAAAAGTGACCAAGAATTTCCAAGAGAGACTTCAGATTCACCAAAAAAAGCTCATATCTAAGAAGACAAAACAAAACATTCTAGCCAGACCCAGACATATTACGGTGAAACTTAAGAATAGCAAAGACAAATAGAAAATTACTTTTTAATTCAATTTTTAATGTTGGGCAGATAGTTGATTCTCATGGTTCAAAAGATTCAAAAAAGGAGTATATAGTGAAAAGTCTAACGTTCATTTCTTCTTTTATCCATCCATTTCCCAACCCTTCCGCATAGATAACCACTTGTATTACTTTTGGCATATTTTGCAGAGTTTCTTTATGCAAATATGAGCAGACATGAATATAATCCTAGTTTTCTTTCTTTCTATACAAAAAGTTCCATATAGATCCTGTTCTATATTTTTATTACTTTTTATTTTGTTAATATACATTAGGGATTTTTCCATATCAATACACAAAAGGTGCTTTTAATTGCATAATTTTTTTTCATTGTATGGCCAAACCCTAATTTATGTAACTGGTCTCTCACTGATGGACATTTGGGCTATTTTCAGTTTTTTTTTGTAATAGATAACCTTGTATAAATACCATTTAATGAATCGGCAGGTGTATCTGTAGGATACATTTCACAAAGTAGGATTTCTGGGTCTACCCACTTGTTTTTCTGTTTCTGTGAACTGCCTGTGATATCCTTTGCCTATGAGTTTATTGAGTTTATTTACAAATCTATGCCTTTTCCTTATAGATTTGTAGGAGATTTGCAGGAAGAATAGCCTCTTGGACATGAAATGGGTCGCAAATATTTTTCCCAGTTTGTGTTTTGACTTACGCTGAGGTGTTTTTTTTTTTTTTTTTTTTTTTTTTTTGAGATGGAGTCTTGCTCTGTCGTCCAGGCTGGAGTGCAGTGGCGCGATCTTGGCTCACTGCGAGCTCCGCCTCCTGGGTTCACGCCATTCTCCTGCCTCAGCCTCCCCAGCAGCTGGGACTACAGGCACACACCGCCACACCCGGCCAATTTTTTGTATTTTTAGTAGAGACGGGGTTTCACTGTGTTAGCCAGGATGGTCTCGATCTCCTGACCTCATGATCCGCCTGCCTCGGCCTCCCAAAGTGCTGGGATTACAGGCGTGAGCCACCGCGCCTGGCCGGTAGAATTTTTTTTGGGGGGGGACAGGGTCTTGCTGTCACCTAGGCTGGAGTGCAGTTTCATAATCATGGCTCACTGCAGCCTCAACCTCCCAGGCTCAAGTGATTCTCCCACCCCAGTCTCCCAACTAGCTAGAACTACAGGCATGTGCCATCACACCTGCCTATTTTTTTCTATTTTTTTGTAGATATGGGGTGTCACTGTGTTGCCCAGGCTGGTGGTCTCAAACTCCTGGGCTCAAGTGATACTCCTGCCTCAGCATCTCAAAGTGCTGGGATTATAGGCATGAGCTACTATACCTGGCCAGTATAATTTTTTCTTTTTATGTATTCAAATGCATTAATATTTTTTATGGCTTCTGGATTTTTGAGTCATAGTCAGAGAAGCTTTCTCTATTGCAAAGCTATTAAGAATTCTTCCATGTTTTCTTTAAATACTTTCATGGTTTCATATACTTTTTTTTTTTTTTTTGACAGGGTCTCACTTTCTCACCCAGGCTGGAGTGCAGTGGCATGATCTCATCTCACTGCAACCTCTGCCTCCCGGGCTCAAGCGATCCTCCCACCTCAGCCTCCTGAGTAACTGGTACTACAGGTGCATGCCACTACTCCTGGCTAATTTTTGTATTTTTGGTAGAGACAGAGTCTCACTATGTTGCCCAGGCTGGTCTTGAACTCCTGGGCTCAAGCGATCCTCCCCACCTCGGCCTCGCAAAGTGTTGGGATTACAGGCGTGAGCCACTGCACCCGGCCTGGTTTCATATCATTTTATAGTTTCACTTTTTACTTTTTGTTTTTGAGCCCGTTGGAGTTTTTCCTGGTGTAGGGTGTGAGATAGGAATCCATTTTTTTTCCCTCCCATACTATGGTTGCCCAATTGTCTCCAAATCACTTACTGACTAGTCCTTTTCTTCATGAAAATTTTCTGTTCTGTCAGTATGTCTATTCATGTGGTTTTACATCTTTTAGGGCTGGTCCAATCTCACTGTACTTCTCTTTTAGTCTTCATAGCTATTCTTGTTTATTTTTCCATATCAACTTTAGAATCAGTTTTTCTAGTTCCAAACAGAGCAATCAACTAAACAGCAGCAACAACAAAAGCCAGCCAGCTAATATTTTTATTAGTACTGCATTAAATGTACAAATGAATGTAGACCATCTTTGTGATGCTGAATCGCCTATTGAAAATGGTAAACTTTTTCTTTTGTCTTAATTTTTTTTTTTTTTTTTTTTTTTGAGACAGAGTCTTGCTCTATCACCCAGGCTGGAGTGCAGTGGCACAATCTCAGCTCACTGCAACCTCCACTTCCCAGGTTCAAGCGAGTCTCATGCCTCAGCCTCCTGAGTAGCTGGGATTACAGGCATGTGTCACCATGCCCAGCTAATTTTTTGTATTTTTAGTAGAGACAGGGTCTCGCCATGTTGGCCAGGCTGGTCTCGAACTTCTGGCCTCAAGTGATCCACCCGTCTCAGTCTCCCAAAGTGCTGGGATTACAAGCATGAGCCACTGTGCCTAGCCAAGGCCTGTTTTAATTTTTAATTTTAACTTTTGTGGGTACATAATAGGAGTATATATTTATGAGGTACACGAGATGCTTTGATATAGGCATGCGATGTATAATAATCACATCATGTAACATGGGCTGTCTAGCCTATTAAGCATTTATCCTTCGTGTTACAAATAATCCAATCATACTCTTATTTTTAAATGTATAATTAAATTATTATTGACTATAGTCATCCTATTGTGCTATCAAATACAAGGTCTTATTCATTCTTTTCAACTAAACTTTTTCATTTGTTTCAGTCTTCTTTTTTTGTCTTTCAATAGAATTTTAAAGTTTTCTTTATATAGGTCTTGTACGTTTTTTGTTAAGTTCATTCCTAAATATGCTATTATTTAGTCGTTGTTGAGACAGAAAATTCTAAAAGCTCCCAGAGAAAAAGAAACAATAACCACATTGACATCAAACTTCTCAACATCAAACTGAAAACAATTGAGTAATATTTTCAAATGACTGAAGGACAAGAGCGTTTCAAAACCTAGTATTTTGTATGCATTCTAACTACTATTAAAATGTGATTATGAATTAAAAATATTTTCAGGCACATAAATTCTCAAAACATTTACCACATCAAGATCTTCTTTGAAACCATTTAACAAATTGCTTTCTTAGTGTCTGCCCTAGGGATTACAATTAGCATTTTAATTTCCAAAAAAACTACTTCAAATTAATACTAACTTAATTTCAGTAATCTACAAAATCTTTGCTCCAATATACCTCCGTTCCCTCCCTGCTTCTTTGTGCCAATATGGTTATGCAAATTTCATCTTTATACTTTATACAGCTATCAGTACAGTTTTATAATTATTGCTTTATGCAGTTGATTTTAAAAAGAGAAAGAGTTAAATCAGAAAGAGAGAAGAGTTATAAACAAAAATATGTTTATACTGCCTTTTATATTTATCCATTTAGTAACCTTTACTGGTGCTTTTTATTTTTTCATGTGGATTCAAGTTACTGTCTAATGTCCTCTCATTTCAGCCTGAAGGGCTCCCTTTTGTATTTCTGATAAGCTCTACTAGTGATGAGTGCTCTCAGTTTTTGTTTATCTGGAAATATCTTAACATCTTTATTTTTGAAGTAGAGTTTTGTTGTATAGAGAATTCTTGATTGAGAATCTTTTGACACATTGAAGTTGTCATCCCAGTCTTCCTGCCTTCATGATTTCTAATAAGACGTTAGCTGTCAATCTCACTGAAGATCTCTTGGACACAATAGGTTGTTTTCCTCTTGCTGTTTTCAAGGTTTTCTTTTTGTCTTTGACTTTCACCCACTTGACTATGATGTGTCTAGTGTGGATCTCTTTGAGTTTTTCTAGTTGGGGTTTGTTAAGCTTCTTGAGGTATGTACACTAGCGGTTTTCCCCACACTTGGGAAATTTTTAGTCATTACTCCAAATATTTTTTATTTCTCTTTATGCTTCTTTTCTTCTTCTGGAACACTCATTAAATATATGTTGGTATGCTTGATGATATCCCACAGGTCTCTGAGGCTGTGTTTATTTTTCTTCATTCTGTTTTTACTCTGTTCCTCAGATAGATAATCTTTACTGACTTATCTTTGACTTTGCCAATTCTTTCTTTTGACAGCTCAAATTTGCTATCAATCCCCTTTAGTGAATTTTTCATTTCAGTTATTGTATTTCTCCACTCTAGGATTTCTATTTGGCTTTTTTGGGGGTAATTTCTATTTCTTTGTTGATATTCTCTATTTGGTGAGATATTGTTGTCATCTTTTTCTTGAATTCTTTAGGCATGGTATTCTTTCATTCTTTGAACATATTTTAAATAGTTGATTTAAAGTCTTTGTCTACTAAACTTGACATCTGTGTGCCCTAAGGGATATTTTCTGACGGCTGTTTATTTAACTGTGTATGTGGTATACTTTTCTGTTTCTTTGCATGTCTTATAAATTACTGATGAAAATGAACTTTTTTTTTTTTTTTTTTTTGAGATGGAGTCTTGCTCTGTCACCCAGGCTGGAGTGCAGTGGCATGATCTCGGCTCACTGCAACCTCTGCCTCCTGGGTTCACACCATTCTCCTGCCTCAGCCTCCCGACTAGGTGGGACTAGAGGCGCCCACCACCACGCTCGGCTAAGTTTTTGTAGTTTTAGTAGAGATGGGGTTTCACCATGTTAGCCAGGATGGTCTCCATCTCCCGACCTCGTGATCTGCCCACCTTGGCCTCCCAAAGTGCTGGGATTACAGGCGTGAGCCACTGCGCCCGGCCGAAACTGAACATTTTTGATAGTGCTATGGCTCGGTTATATTTTGTCCTCGTCCAAACTCTTGCTGAAATTTGATCCCCAATGTGGCAGTGTTGAGAGGTGGGCCTAGTGGGAGATGTTTGGGTCGTGAGGGTGGATTCCTCATGAATATATTCATGCTTTCCCATGGGGGTTAGTGAGTTTTCCGTCTTGTGGGAATCAATTAGTTCCCATGAAAGCACGTTGTTTAAAATGGTCTGATTTCCTCGATTCCTCTCTCTTGCTCCCCTTCTCGCCATGTGATCTCTTTGCACATGCTCACTTCCCCCTGGCTTTCTGCCATGAGCTGAAGCAGCCCAAGGTCTCATCAAATAGAGATGCCCAATCTTGAACTCTCTAGCCATCAAAATCATGAGCCAAATAAACCTATTTTCTTTTTCCTTTCTCTTTTTTGAGACAAGGTCTTGCTCTGTCACCCAGGATGGAATGCAGTGGTGCAATCACAACTCACTGTAGCCTTGACCTCCTTGGCTCATGCAATCCTCCCACCTCAGCCTCCTAAGTAGCTGGGACTACAGATGTGAACCACCATGCCTGGCTAGTATTTTATTTTTTTTGTAGAGATGGAGTCTCACTATGTTTCCCAGACTAGTCTTGAACTCCTGGGCTTAAGCACTGCTCCTGCCTCAGTCTCACAAAGTTCTGGGGTTATAGGAATGAGCCACTAGGCCCACTATCTTTTTAAAAATAAGCTACCCACCCAGTCTCAGGCATTCTGTCATAGCAATATGACAGACTAAGATAGATAGTATATTGTAACAACATGGTATGAGATACCCTCCCCCAGGTTTGTTGCTATTGCTGCTTTTTATGTCATTGCTTTCCTGTTTGCTTCTTATGTGCTTAGTGCCTTTCCTGGACTAATTCTGTAGATTCTATATTCCCTGCAATATGCAGGTCCTGAGTTCTCTGTTAGCATTTTAAAGAAGGGTTATTATTTTCATTTTTAAGTCTGGTTTCCTAGGGTTCAGTCCTAGGTCAGTATAATTTAGTGGTCAGCCAATAATGATTGGTCTGAAGATTTCCCTAAATGCTTTGTCTGTATATCTTTCACCATTTGCCAAGGGGATCTGTAGCTGAAGGCACAGCTTCACACTTCAGGTAGTTTATAAGACAGCCTTAGCTTTCACTTTTTGCTTGTACAGGGACTCAGGTTCAGCCAGAGGTGAATGAGTGGGGCCTTCTTCTTTCCAAGGTCTTTCCCAAGCATGCATATGAGTACAGCCTTCTACATCCCCAGGAATATGTTGGAGCTTTTTAAAGTTCCCTGTGGTTTTCTAGTTCTCAAGAGCTTCCTTTTAAATTTTTATTGCTGTTGGCCAGGCTCTTGTTTGCTGCAACCAGAGTCACAGACTTAGGCAGCTGAGATATTGCCATCAGATTGCTATTGTTTTTGGCAATGCCCTGGGACAGCTTTTTTGTTGTTGTTGTTGTTTTTGTCCATGAGCTGAGTTGTGAATCAAATGAAATAGCCACAACATCTTGGGAACAGAGATTTTCCAGGTAGCTGCTAATTTGGACAAAATATTGAGTGTGCTCTAGGCATGGGGCTTTTAATGGAGCTCCAAAAGAGGTCAGTCATCTCCATTAGCTCCATGTCTGCTGGCTTTTCATGGCTACTGGGCCACCAAGCTGGAGAGGGAGAGAGGATGGGAATAGCTTCAAGTTAAAATGCCACAGACACCATTGTCTTATTGAAGTTCAGTATTTTTCTCTTGGATGGATGATTTTCAGTTCCTTCTGTGGCTTTGGTATACTTCCAAAGTTCTGAAATGGTTGATTTGAGTTGTTTTTGCCAGTATTTTTGTTGTTTTTAAGGGATAATGGCTCACCAAGTTCCTCATTTCACCATTTTAGAAGGCAATCTCCCTTGATAGCATTTTAAAAAGAGAAGTACCCCAGTAAGATGGGAAATGAATACAAGATGAAGTAATGAGATATGCAAGGTAAAGGGGAGAAACGTATCTTACAAAAGTATATTGTTACCTAAATTAGCAATCCCTCCTCCTGAAAAATTTATATATCATAGATAATTCAGAAATATAACCCGAAACCAGAAGCATGGTAGGGAAGAGGAGTGGGAAACTGTTAGTAGGAAAGTCTAGAGGGTGATGGGAGTATGCCAATGCACTTGTTCTGTTTAAGGAAGAGTTATTAAGCTTAAAATGCTGTTAAGCTTAAGAAGTTGACAAGGGAAAGAATAAACATAAGTAAGGGTCATAATAAGTTAGGGTCAACAATGAGAAAAGTATACATAGAATGTATTATATTCTAAAAAACAAATTTAACATAGTCAATGGAAAGTATAAAATCCAAACATTTCAATGGAAGAAAACAATTTTGAATTATCCCAAAGAGGATGGAAAGCAGTAAAAAGAAAGTACAGTAAATAGAAAACACAAAACGAGACAGCAGAAATAAGTTCCAAGATAACATTAATTAACATAAATATAGGTTAATTCAACCCAGAAATCAAAATAAAGAGACTCTGATTGAATATAAAAACAAAATCCAATAAAATACTGTTAGCAAAAGATAATTTATGCAAAGTTGGAAAGTAAAAGGTTAAAAAAATCTAGGCACATTAAAAAAAGAAAGAACTCCAAGGTAGCAATTTTAACATCAGAAGAAAAATTAATTTAGGGCAAAAATAACATACAGGACAAATAGAGATGTTATATACTAACAAGGGATAATAAATCAAGAAGAAATAACAATCATAAACACATATGCATCCAACAATGTAGCCTCAAAATGTATACTGGGGAAATAGATATATGAACAATTATATGCAGAGATTTTAGCACAGCTCTTTCAGAATATGAATCAAGAAGGCCAAAGATAAGCAAGATAGAATATTTGAATAATATATTTAATAATTTTGAACTAAAACATACACACACAAACATATGCTTTTATACTTAACAAAGGAAATATCCATCAATTACAAAAAATGAATTATGAGGAAATTACATCCTCCAATTATAGTGAAGTAAAGTTAGAATTCATTATAAAACGGGCACTTAAAAATATCACATTTCTGGGAAGAATTAATATTAACTTTGGGCTAAAGAGGAAATGACAAGGGAAATTATGAAATACTTAGAACCAAATTATAATGTCAAAGTGTGTGCTGAATCACAATGTCAACATTTATACTAAAGCAGTACATAAAAGAATTTAAAATTTATGACTATGCTTATTAGAAAATAAAAAATACTCAGAACAAAAAGGTAAGTGTGTAACTCAAGAAGTTAAAAAAAAGAGCAATGGAGTGAACCCACAGAAATGAGAATGAAGGAACTAATAAGGATCATGGAAGAAATAAAAAGAGAGAGCAAAGACAATGGATGAAATTAGCTAAACCAAAACTAGCCTTTTTTCTGGGGGGTTGGGGGGAGAACAGTAAACACAAACCTCTGATAAGAGTAACTAAGCAAAAAGGACTGTGTTCAACTGAGTATAGCACTTTCTTGCTCATGCTTTTCACCTCATGGTTGCAAGATGGCTGTTTCTCCTCTAAGGAAAGGGAAGAGGAGGAGGTAGAGGCTACATCTGGAAAGCAGAAATCTTTACCAGACATCCTTCGCAGAATTTCTGATAAGGTGAACATTTTAAGGTGCAGAGTCTGGTAAGGTGAACATTTTACTTGAACACAATTGCTGCCAGGGACATAATGTGGGTAAAGAAGAGGGGAAATGGATATTAGGTAGGCAAGCAACAGTCTCAAGAACTATACACTAATACATTTGAAAACTTGGGTAGAAAAGGATAAATTTCCAGAAAATGTAAAATGTCATACGAAGAAATAGAAAATTACATAAACATTTGTATATAAAGTTTTCTTGAATACAAGAAAAGTGGCTCTACTGAACTCCAGGCACCAAGTTTTACCATATGTTGAACAGAGAAGCCTTATGTTATACAAGTTGTTCCATAAAATAGAAAATAGAAAAAGGAGGGAAAGCTGCTTGATTTATTTTATGAGGCTAGTATAATCATAATGAGAAAACAGGTTAAGGAAAGTGAAAGAAAAGAAAACAGAGTGAATATTAATGCAAAAAATTTTAAATAAAATATTGGCTACCCCAATCCAACGGTGTATTTTTTAAATCCTAATTTATGAGGATCAAGTTAGAGTTAGCTAATAATTCATGTTTACTTAAAAATCAGAAAGTAGGCCAGGCATGGTGGCTCACGCCTGTAATCCCAGCACTTTGGGAGGCTGAGGCGGGTGGATCACCTGGGGTCAGGAGTTTGAGACCAGCCTGGCTAACATGGTGAATCCTCATTTCTACTAAAAATGCAAAAAATTAGCCGGGCATGGTGGTGCGCGCCTGTAATCCCAGCTACTTGAGAGGCTGAGGCAGGAGAATTGCTTGAACCTGGGAGGCAGAGGTTGCAGTGAGCCGAGATCGTGCCATTGTACTCCAGCCTGGGCAACAAGAGCAAAACTCTGTCTCAAAAAAAAAAAAAAAATCAGAAAGTATATTAATATACAATCACCACAGGAATAAACTAGAGAAGGAAGAAAACCACATGATCTTAATAGATCCAGTAAATGCTTAATAAAGTTTATGATGAGTGTTATGAAAAACCAGGAATAAAAAGGAACTTCTTTAATTTAATAAAGCCTTCAGCAAACATCATACTGAAGCTTTAGATGTAGCCTGGCATGGTGCTTTTAATCCGAGCACTTTGGGAGGCTGAGGCAGGAGGATTGCTTGATGCCAGGAATTTCTACAAAAATTAAACAATAAAAACATTAGCTGGTCATGGTGGCACCTATAGTTCCAGCTACTTGGAAGACTCGGGTGGGAGGATCACTTGAGCTTGGGAGTTCAAGACGCCATGAGCTATGATCATGTCATTGCACTCCTGCCTAGGCAACAGAGTGAGACCCTGTCTCTAAAAATCAAATACACAAACAAACAGACAAAGACTTTAGACAGATTCTTTTTAAGGTTGAGAACACAAAAATGGTTACTCTACCACTACTATTCAACATGGCATTGGAATTCCTTGCTAACACACCAAGACCATGAAAACCACCACCACTGCCACCACCAATAACAACAAGAGGGTCAAGTGCTAGCAGGGTAAAGGCAAAATTGATTATTTGCAGATGAAATGTTTATTTACATAGTAAGCACAACAGAATTAAGAGATAGAGAGTCAGAACTAAAAACAGAGTTCAGCAAGATGGCTGGAGATGATGCCCAGCATACAGAAACTGATAGGGTTTGTTTGCACTGTCAATGACCAATTAGAAAATATAAAAATATACAAAATGATCTTTTACAATAGCATAAAAAACTGTCAAGTACTTACGACCTTATATAATGAAACTACATAAGATCTTTGTGGAGCAAAATTTAAAACTATTAAAGGACATAAAGAAGTTTTGAGGCCGGGCGCAGTGGCTCACGCCTGTAATCCCAGCACTTTGGGAGGCCAAGGCGGGTGGATCACAAGGTCAGGAGATTGAGACCATCCTGACTAACATGGTGAAACCCCATCTCTACTACAAATACAAAAAATTAGCCGGGCGTGGTGGCAGGTGCCTGTAGTCCCAGCTACTCTAGAGGCTGAGGCAGGAGAATGGCTTGAACCCGGGAGGTGGAGCTTGCAGTGAGCCAAGATGGCGCCACTGCACTCCAGCCTGGGTGACAGAGCGAGACTCCGTCTCAAAAAAGAAAATAATAATAATAATAATAATAATAAATAGAAATACATACTATATTCATAGATAAATGGCTTAACAATGTAAGGATGCCAAATCCCTCCAAATTAATGTACGAATTCAATGCAGTTCCAATAAAATTTCCAGAATTTTTTTGGGGGAAAGTGAAACACTTACTGTAAAATTTATAAGGGAGAATAAAGCCTAAAAAAGAAGAGTAAAGAGGAAAGACTCACCTTACCAAATATTGAGACATTACAAAGCCAAGTGCTAACTGTGATATTAGTGTGATATTAGTGCAGGGACAAATAGATTAATAAAACTAGAGAACTCAAAAGCAGACTTAAGTATAAAGATGTAGTGCCAGAAATCATAGAGGAAGAGTGGATTATTTAGTCTATAGCATTTTGAAAACTGGCTAAGTGGAGAAATATAAAGGTGGGTCCCTATCTTAAGTCTATTCAAAAGAAATTCCAAATGAATTAAAGACCTAAAATGAGAGTTTAAAATTAAAAGCTAATATGGAAAATGTAGTATCTTTTTAACTTGGAAGTGGGGGGGGTAGCAAGAGAGATTCTTATTTTATTTTATTTTTCTCCCTAGAATCCTTGTAGCAAGAGAGATTCTTAAGATCCTCAAGATAAATTGTAATGGGAAAATAAAAAACTTTGATTACATCAAAATAAGATTTTCTGTTCAAAAAAATATACCAAAGTTAACAAATGAGTGACAGACTGGGCAAAGATATTTCCGAAATGAAAATCAGCAAAGGATTAATATCTAGATTATACAACACACTTCTGCAAAACCACATGAAAAAAGACAAGAAACAGAACAAAAACTGGGCAAAGGATATTGTGGAAATATGAGTTTTAAGCTTCAAACACTTTGATTTGACTTTGGTTAAAATTGAGTTGGAACCAAAGGTCACGATCACAACTAGAAAACCCTCAGAGGTTAACACTTTTGAAAATGCAGAACTTTTAGTTTGTGGTCTGGCATGTTAAGAAACTTGGAAGTAACCACTCTGTCCTAACAAGTAAAAAGCTGAAAAAACTGGAAAATCAACAACTCTTCTTAGATCTGTGAGACAAGTGATGTCACAGGATAAACCAGTGCTCCCAAGATTGGAGAGACAGAGAGGTGAATACAGAGAATCAAAACATACGGAAGCAGAAACTCACAAGTAGAAACCGGCATTGTACTTGATGAGTTGCTGGAGGCTCGGCATGGACAAGTCTGAGAGATAAATATTCCAGGGGTACCCAGGCATAAGGGGGTCCCTACACTCTGGTGAATTTTACCTCCTGGAGCTCTACCAGGTTCTCACAGTGAATAATTTGAGAAAATTTCCCTCATGCTTCCATCCTGGGGATGGGAAAAGAAGCTATTTGGAAATACCAATGCATTCCATTCTTTTCAACAAAGCCTTCCTCTAGGAGAAACTATTTAACCAGTCTAACCTGCTGGGTTTTTATCAGAGCGTAATTAACTTAGGGGAAGGAAAATATCCAATTCCAACCAGCTGTAGCTTCCACATGGAGGAAGGGAAATACTCAACTCTAATTTCCTCCAACCTTCCATGTGGGAGAAGGAAAACCCTAATTCCAGTTCACTCTAACCATCCTAGTTTACCTAAGGGGAGAGGGGAGCAACTGAGAAGCACGTCTGAAGTTCACAGTCTAGGGGCATAGGCTTACTAAAAGACTGAGGCCTACTCATAGGACTATAGAATGCTCTTCTTCCCCCACACCTTACCACCACATTACTAAAGGCTTATGAACAGAAGTTTCTTTTACCCAGTACATTATGTCTGGGGAAAACAAATTACAGGGCATACTAAAAGGCAAAAACAAAATATAGAGACAGAGAAAGCATCAGAATCTGACTCATGTGACAGGGATGTTGGAATTATCAGATCAGGAATTTAACCCAAATATAATTAATATGCTAAGCGTTCTAATGGATAAAGCAGATAACATGCAAGAACAGATGGGCAATTTAAACAAAGAGATAGAAATTCTAAGACAGAACCAAAAACATACACTAGGGATCAAAAACACTGTAATAGAAATAAAGACCACCCAGATAGGCTCATTAGTATACTGGACACAGCTGAGGAAAGAAACGCTGAGCTTGAGGATATCTCAAAAGAAACTTCCAAAACTGAAAAGCAAAGTGCAAGGCCGGGTGCGGTGGCTCACGCCTGTAGTCCCAGCACTTTGGGAGGCTGAGGTGGGTGGATCACGAGGTCAGGAGTTCCAGACCAGCCTGGCCAAGATGGTGAAACCCTGTCTCTACTAAAAATACAAAAATTAGCTGGGCGTGCTGGCAGGTGCCTGTAATCACAGCTACTTGGGAGGCTTGAGGCAGGAGAATCATTTGAACCCGGGCAGCAGAGGTTGCAGTGAGCCAAGATTGCACCACTGCACTCCAGCCTGGGTGAAAGAGCGAGACCGCATCTCAAAAAAAAAAAAAAAAAAAAAAAGCAAAGTGCAAAGAGACTAAAAAAGAAAAACCAAACAGAGCATCCTAGGACTGTGGGATAGCTACAAAAGCTATTCATATAAATACATGTAATGAGAATACAGGAGAAGAAAAAAAGAAAAGAACAGAGGAAACATTTGAAACCTTTTAAAGGCTGAATGATATTCCTTTGTATGTATATACCACACTTTTTATCCATTCATCTGTTGATAGGCACTTGGGTTACTTCCACATTTTGGCTACTGTGAATAATCCTGCTATGAACATGCATGTACAAATATCTCTTCAAGACCTTGCCTTCCATTCTTTTGGGTATATATTCAGGAATGGGAATGCTAGATCATATGGTAATTCTATTTTTAATTTTTTTTAGCAAGAACCCTACAGTTTTCTATAGTGGTTGCACTATTTTACTTTCCCATCAACAGTTCATAGTGTTCTAATTTCTCCATCCTTGTCAACACTTATTATTATTATTATTATTTTTTGAGACACAGTTTCATTCCGTCACCCAGGCTGGAGTGCAGTGGTCCAATCTCTGCTCACTGCAAACTCTGCCTCCTAGGTTCAAGTGATTCTGCTGCCTCAGCCTCCTGAGTAGCTGGGATTACAGGTGTGTGCCACCAGGCCCAGCTAATTTTTGTATTATTAGTAAAGACTGGGTTTCACCATGTTGGCCAGGTGAACTCCTGACCTCAAGGGATCAGCCCAACTTGGCCTCCCAAAGTGCTGGGATTACAAGCCAGCCACAGTGCCTGGCCTGTTTTTTTTTTGTTGTTGTTGTTCGTTTTTTGTTTGTTTTTCATAGCAGCCATCCTAATGAGTGTGAGAGATGGTATCTCATTGTGGTTTTGGTTTGCATGTCCCTAATGATTAGTGATGTTGGGCATCTTTTCATGAGCTTGCTGGTCTTTTGTATATTTTCTTTAGAGAAATGTCTATTTAAGTACTTTGCCCATTTAAAAATCAGGTTGTTTGTTTTTTTGTTGTTGAGTTTTAAGAGTTCTTCATATATTCTGCATATTAACACCTTATCAGATGTATGATTTGCTAATATTTTCTCCCATTCCATAGGTTGCCTCTTCACTTCTGTTGATTTTGTCCTTTGATGCTAGACCTTTGTCATCCACATCTTTGTCATCCACATCTGAACCCCATCTCTCGTTTCCATTGGTGGTAGTCGTGGTGGTGGTGGGCCTCAGTATGACTGCAGTAATGGTACCTGGTGCGTCTTCTTTCCAAGACTGCCCTTACTTAGTTTCTTTTGTTTGCAATGAGACAAAGATTTCTGAGCACCAAATGACAAAGAAGAGTTAAGTTTTTAAAAGCAATTGTTTTCTTCTTGAAATGTTTCTTTAGTTCCTGTTCAAGACAATGCTAAGCAAAATTCAGATATCACCACACAACCTCTGGTCTTCTGTGGAAGGCAAGACTTCTTCAAATATCCAAACACCTTGAGCCCCTGAGTTGGTCTGACTCGCTAGTCCCAGGGACAGACACAGTGAGGTTTATTTGCTGCTGACAGCCAAGCTCCAAGGCAAGATGGGACAGCTATTGTCATGGGGGGAGACATTCAGATCCCTCTTATGACTTGCCATAAAAATGATGGGCCTCTGGTGGGATCCATTCCCAACTCTCTTACCTCATTTCAGGTAGGTTCAGTGGTGACATCCAATCATAGCTCTCTTACCTAACTCACCTCTCCAAGGGCAAGCTTCTCACTATTCTCTAATCAAAATTTAGAAAACCTGCCAGTACAACCTTGGAGAAGAGGGGCTTTAGCCAAAAGCAGGTGCTATATTCTCTCCTTCCTGGAAGTGTCATCTCTTTTCTGGGCTAAGAGCACACAGATTTTGATGTAATTTGCCAAGAACAATAGGAAGAAGCACTGTTTCTGGATGCCACATGCTTCCTGAAAGAGGAAAATTGTAACATGTTGATATGATAGTGGAGGGTCTTGGAATTTTCTTGGAATCTTCTCATCTCTTCCATGGTGACAGAGATCCAGTGAGTGCCTGGTGAGATAGGACTTATTTGTAAATCCTTGTGAGCCTCTCTCTGCAGGCACTGGAATATACACTGATGAGATTTGGGCAGCCAGGCTTGGAAGGGGATGGGGCTGAGGAGCAGGAGGTGAGGGTCTGTGAAATTGGTTTTATTATTGTGACTCTGACCTCAGGTGGTCCCTCGGCAGCCCTAGGAAACTCAAAAAGTACATGCAGCTATTTATCCTGTTTCTTCACATTTACACTGATCAAGACAAAAGTAGCATCAGGGTCGTCCATATCCTCAGGAAAGGCTGCCAGAGGCTGTCTGGGCTGGCCAGGCTGATCTGCCAATTCCACTGGAAGCCTTTGCAGCTGCTCCCTTTTCCCAGACCCTGGCCTCGCCTCCTGTCTCTCACAAAGCCAGCTCAGCAGCAGCACCTGATCCTCGGGGTTTTCTGTAATTCCAAGCTCCAAGAACTAAAGGGCCTTCAGGTTGCCGGCCTCATCCTGAGCTGCAGCTTTGGGAAGGGAATAGGGACCAGGTTTGCCCAATGAAGAGGGACGCTAGTTTTCCCTTGTGTTTGGCGCTCCCTGGTGGAGAGCTTCGGAACCCCTGGTCGAATCCTCTCCCTTCCTGTCCCGGTTTGCTTTCAGAAGTCCTCTTCAGTCCCCGCTTACAGCCATTCCACCCCCGTGTGGAGGCAGAAAATAGCTTTCCAGTCCCAAGAGCGTGGCCTGCCCCTTGCAAAGGGCAGAGGGGATGCAAGTGTCCAAAACTGCAGCCTATGGGGGTCGACATGAACAAAGCTAAAGGGAACGTTGAGTGCCAATAGGAAGGTGCCCCGCCCTGAAGGTGCCTACCCAGACCTCTGCCTTCCGCAGTAGCCCCCCATGCTGCAGGCCTCGACCAGACACCAAGTTCCAGTCACCACAGATTGCCCCCTCTGGCTCATCCCACCACTCCCTAGACCCTGGCTTTGAGGGCAGATCGATTGGCCTATAGGGCTGGTGTCTTGGCTCAATGTGGTCCTTCTGCACACAGACCAGGAACTTTCTGCCAGGTTCTGGGGAAGGAGATGAACCTTCATTCCAGGCCCCAGCATCTCTCGGGTTCCAGAATGCTATGCTATTCTGCAGGGTGAGAAGGGCTGGTGTGCCCTTGGCCCAAAGGAGGGAATCACGTCAAGGCCGAGAGGCACAAACTTAGAAGGTCACAGAGACCAAGGCCCTCATTTTTCAGACATGGGAGCTGAGACCCAGTGGGGTAAGTGACTTGCCCAGGGGTCATATTTTAAGTTTTACTTCTGTAGCAGATGACAACTGTCTTAGTCCGTTTTCTGTTGCTTATAATGGAATACCTGAAACTGGGTAATTTAGAAAGAAAAGGAATTTAGTTCTTAAAGTTACGGAGGCTGAGAAGTCCAAGGTGAAGGGGCCACATCTGGTGAGGGCCTTCAGGCTGAGGACTCTCTGCAGAGTCCCGAAGTGTTGCAGGGCCTCACGTGGCGAGGGGGCTAGGCATGCTAGCTCAGGTCTCTCTCTTTATAAAGCCACCTGCCCCACTCCTATAATAACCCATTAATTCATTAACCCATTCACTTATCCATGATGGCAGCATCCTCATGAACCATTCACCTCTTAAAGGTCCCACCTCTCAATACTGTCACATAGAGGATTAAATTTCAACATGAGTTTTGGAGGGGACAAATATTCAAACCACAGCAACACCTCACCAGTCACGTTTCTGTCGTGCACCGCAGGCTCCCAGGATTGGAAAGAACTTCAGTCCAGTGGAGCCTCATGTCTCCAAGCCATTTCACAGCCAGGCTAGCAAAAAGATAAAGGTTTCATGAACATGGCTGTGGAAAGCCAGTGGATGCTGAGCATGCCTTCTGCTTTGCTCCACATCACAAACATCACCAAGTGGCAGGGCTTCTGGTCTCAGTGACAGTCAGCAATTGTAGAAGGAAGCTAGCAGATGAGGAGTTTTTGCTGTATTGTCTATAATTCTTTTTTTTTTTCTTTGAGAAGGAGTCTCGCTCTGTCGCCCAGGCTGCCAGGCTGGAGTGCAGTGGCGCGATCTCAGCTCACTGCAAGCTCCGCCTCCCGGGTTCACGCCATTCTCCTGCCTCAGCCTCCTGAGTAGCTGGGACTACAGGCACCCGCCACCACGCCTGGTTAATTGTGTGTGTGTGTGTGTGTGTGTGTATTTTTAGTAGAGACAGGGTTTCACTGTGTTAGCCAGGATGCTCTCCATCTCCTGACCTCATGATCCGCCGGCCTTGGCCTCCCAAAGTGCTGGGATTGCAGGCGTGAGCCACCGCACCCGGCCTGTATTGTCTATAATTCTTATGATCTGAGCTTTGGTTTCAGGTTTTGGATGGATGGCTTCATGGGCTCCCGGGCTCTGCCATTTCTGCAGAATTTCCTCCTCATCACATGGGTTCAAAATTACAAAATCATCCACGATCCTTGATACTCCTTCTTCGTTGATCCCCGCGGCCCCATTATCCAATAAACAACCAAGGGCTGTCTTGTTGATTCCACTTTTGAAATTCCAATACACATACTATGTTGTCATTTGATTCTCATACCTTTTGGGATGCAGCCTCTTCTTGCCTGGAATGTTGTGGTGGTCTGTCCAAAACAAATGTCTCAGCACCCATAATCTCCACCAACTCAGACTCATTGTTCACTTCGCAACAGGCAAGAGTTAAAAGCTTTCAGTCCTCTCCATTGGCTAGTCAAATCTTCTCTTCTAGAGGCCCCATAGTCTTCAGAGGAACAACCGTGGATTTCTAGCAGCCAGATATGGGTTCAAACCATGGCTCTACCATCTAATAGTCGCAACCATGGGCAACTAAGTCAGTTGACCTTTCTGAGCCTTGGTTTCCCCTACTGTAAATTGAGATTAGTATGAGGATTATGAGTATTGCTGTGTGCAGGTGTGAGGCATAAAGAGCAGAAGCAAATTTCAACCAGTGTGAGTTCTGTTTCCCTTAGATTGAGGCTTAGGAAGTTCACAATCTGTTCCAACACTTCTTTCCAACTTTATTTTCCATGAATCTCCTGTGAAATCTACACGCGTATCTGGTGTGTTATCTCTATTGTGCCCCTATCCCTGATCATTGCTCCCCTGCTAGGAAGAGCCTCTTCACTTGCCTGAGTTGGTTGAATGTAGCAGTTGGGAGGACGGACTCTGTGGTCAGATAGATCTAGTTTCGAATTTTAACCTTTCTGAACCTTAGTCAAGTCACCTGTACAATGAGGCCATACTAATATCTTATTTCATAAATTTGATGGTCTGACTTAATGAGATAAGCTTTGTCCACCTCTTATTAGCCCGACGCACAAGATTCCTGCTAGTCTGGGTGTGGGAGCCCAGATTTGTCCCTGGCATCAACTCTATTGGGTTGAAAAGATCATCCAGAAAACTACAAATGGCATTTTTCAAAGGGTCTTCTAGGGAACACTAGTTCTGAAAGATCGTGATTAGTGTTACATGCGAAGAAGGCTGTGACACCACATAAGGGGAATTATAGGTCAAAGAGAGAGAAACAAGTTTGTTGACTGCAGGCTTTTGAGAGTCTTTAATTGCTAACAGGTATTGCAAGTTTCTAAAAGGTGACAATAATTAACATCATTTTCCAAAGTTGTTTGACCACAGACAGAATCCTTATGTAATGCTCTCCCCAACCCTCCACACCACTAGGATTGCATGTTCTGCAAAACTCAGTTGGGAAATAGTGGTCTAAGTAAACCTGAGCATGATGGTTAATGGCTCATTCAATATTTACATTCCTCTTAGCTGGAACCAAGACATGTCAGAGGGTCAAACTCAATATCTTTAACAGCTACAAGATCAGGAGCTGAGAATTGTATTTACTTTTGATTCTGTAAAGCTTAACTGACCTACTGGTAAAGTAGGTAATAGAGTGAAAGTCACAGCTTGAAGTCTAAGACTTTACGACCCAGTCCTTCCTCCATACGCCGGCTTATTTCATAAACTCCATGAGGGTCTTTTCAGAAGGTCCCTGCGCTCAGCTGTCCTGTCTGCCCAGAGAGAAATGCTCACTATTTAAACTTCTCACTTGACATTTACGTTGTCCTGTCCCATTCTGTTTGTGGACATGGTTTTGTGGTTCGGCCTTTCCTTCTAAATTGTCAGTATTGTTCCCAGGCAGGCTTTGTCATAGAAACAAAGTGCAGTTCAAGGTTTCACATCTGCACAAATAGGCAGGGTGGGTAGCATCGGCCTCATATCCAAGGGAGAGAGTCCGTTGAGTGTTACTCCGATCGGACGGGGGGGGTAGTTCACATGTGCATCCCCAAACAATGATTGCGGCCCTGTGAACAAAATGTGCAGAATGGCATAAAGCCATTGGGAGGTGACATTAATTACCCCGGGAAGATGTGGGAGGCATCTGGTGACGTTATGCAGGAGGGAGTGGTAGACGCGTTCCTAAAGACTCACCCAGCACCCTGAAGGATCACAGCCTTGCTCAGTACATACTTATGAAGGAAGGGTGACCTGAAGAACGCTTGAGCCCAGGGCCTTCACTCTGAACTTACTTCCCTCTATCACAGCCTCTGACTCTGCAACACCTCACCCCAGGGTGCCGCCAGCATAAAGACAGAAGCCTGCAGGGCTCAACAAGGAGAAGGGGCAAAGTGAAGAGAATTCGGGAAGCTCGTGACAGCAAAATCACAGGTCATGGAGTAAAGGGAAGACGAAATTAGAAAGGAGGTTTCCTAATTTGGGACATTGGGAAGATATCTGGCAGAAAATCTGCCTCAAGCAGGTTCATCTGTTTAATTAACCTGAGGCCAGTGACTGTTTTGTTGTTGTTGTTGTTTTATCCATGAAATGTGACCAGCATGAAAAATCTGATATGCATATTTCAGAGGACAGCCCCTGTGACATTCGTCAGCTTATTAAAGGAAACAATATGCCCTAAAACGTGAAAAGCCACTTCCTTGAAACCAAGTCGAGGGGGAATGGTAAACCAAAGTTAGCAGAAATAGAAAAGTAGGGTGTTGGTCAGGAAAGACTTCCTATAGAGATGTGCCTGTCAGAAAGATTACTATTCCCATCCCGCATGCTGGAGACCCATGTGGCAAACAGTGTGGCAGGGACAGACTTTGTTTAAACGAAGGAATTTGCACTGAAGATCATCTTCCGCATTTTTATAAACTTTGAAAGCAGTCAGTGGTCTCAGCATTTTCCTACAAAGGCCATATCCCCACGCGTACATTTGAATTCTCAAAAGCTCTTTCTCCAAAAGCATTGCTAATAAAAAATGTAAAAAAAAAGAATTGTCAAAGGGGCCTCTAGAGATCATTTGACTTGGTTCAATATCTTTAGGCTTGTGAGTATGTAAAACTATCCAAGACACAAAGTTATCAAGTCTTTTTGTTTTGTTCTGTTTTTTTTTTCCTCCCATTAAAGCATTCTAGAAACAAAGACCACTGCTCTGAAGCATTTACTATTCTGATAGGTAATGTGCTCTTATAGTCACCTGAGGCTGTTGTTATTCTTGTGTACTTCTATGCTGCTGATTAATTTTCAAAAGCACGGTACAGAGAAAGGGTGCTCAACATTACTAGTTATTAGGGACATGAGAATTAAAATCACAGTGAGATACAGTCTGTCCTCTGTATCTGTGGGCTCCGTACCTGCTGATTCAACCAACCATGGATCAAAAATAATCCAAACAACAACAAAAATAATACAGATGCAAAAGTAGGGAATAACAACTACTTACATAGCATTTACATTATATTAGGTATTTTAAATAATCTAGAAATGATTTAAAGTATATAAGATGATGTGCATAAGTTATATGCAAATACTATGCCATTATATAGAAGGGACTTGAGCATCCTTGGATTTGGTATCTGTAGGAGGTGGTCTTGGAACCAATTCCCCAAGGATACCAAGAAACAACTCTACTACTACATGCCTGTTAGAACGGTTAAAATTAAAGAGATTGATTTTACTGAGTGTTGGTGAGGGTGTAGAGAAGCTGGAACTCTCATGCCCTGCTGGTGGGAATGTAAAATGGCACAACCACTTTGGGAAACTATTAGCAGTTCTTTAAAAGTTAAACATATGTCTACCATATGATTTGGTCAATCCACTCCTTGGTATTTACCCAAGAGAAATGAAAGCGTGTGTTCACACAAAGACTTAGATATGAATATTCATAAAAGTTTTATTTGTAATCATCAAAAACTGAAAGCAATTACATGTTTGGAATTGAAATGTATGGTAATATAATACAATATAAATGAATGGATAAATCGTGGTATATCCATGCAATGGAATACTACTCAGCAATGAAAAGGAAGAAACTATTAATGCACTTAAGATCATTGCTGATTTTCAAATTAATTATCCTGTGTAATAAAGAATTTGGCCTTTGTCCCCAGTTCCTGGGAGATAGGCTCTAAATCCTTGGAATTTTCCAAGTCGAAGAGTGTCTTTTTTACTGGTGGTTGGCCTGTCAACCACACTTGAGTTTATGCTAATGAGGTGACTCATGATGGGACCTTACACAATTTATGCTAATGGAATGACTCAAGATGGGGGCTGGCCATGCCAGAAAAACCAACCATGTATTTAGAAGGTTGGGGCTTTGAGCTTTTGATATAGGCCTGACTTCTGGGGAGAGGAGCAGGGCTGAAGATTGAGTCATAGGCCAGTGATCCAATGAGTCATGCCTATGTGATGAAGCCCCTAATAAAAACAATGGATATCAAAGCTCGGGTGAGTCTGACTGCTTGGCTACGCTCAGTGTCTTGTCTCACATCAGTGTGCTGGAAGGGTCCTTTGTCCTGACTCCACAAGGAGAAGACATGGAAGCTTCATGTTTGGGACACTCCCAGTCCTTGCCCTGTGCATCTCTTCTTTTGGCTGGTTCTGATTTTGAAAACTTTGGCTACAATAAAACTGTAATAATAAGTGTAGTTCTTTCGTGGGTCTTGTGGGGTTTTCTAGTGAATTACCAAACCTGAGAGGGGAGTGGGAAGCCCCCAAAATTGTGACTGCATCTGAAGTGGGAGCAGTCTTGAGCCCTTAACCTTGAGCCTAGCTCCTGGTAGTTGTTGTCAGAAGTCATTGCAATTATGCTGAGTAAAAAAAGTCAGAATAAAAGAGGACATACTATAGTCTTTAAAAATGCAAATTAACACACAGTGACAGAAAGTAGATCAGTGGTTGCCCGGGACCAAAATGGAGCACGCTACGGAGGAGGGATTATAAAGGGCAGGAGGCATTTCACCGGTGTTTGAATATGTGCAGTTTATTATATGTTAATACCTCAATAAAGCTACTTAAAAAAAAAAAGCTCAGTGTGGCCTCTTATGACCCTGACCAGAGCCCTCCATGGCTTATCCAAAGTCTACAGGATCAAGGCCTTTCATGACCTGGTCCCATCTGTCTTTCCAGCCTTGCATTTAAGCACCATCCTACACAAATCCTTCGCTTTAGCCAAACTGTATGTCTTGCTACCCTCCAAGTATTCTTCATGCTTTTTCCACCTCTGCAGCTTTGTTTATATAGTCATAGAATGCCCTCTCCTAGGTTACCACCCTCACTTTACCTGTTAAAAGTTTACCTACCCTAGGCCGGGCGCAGTGGCTCGCGCCTGTAATCCCAGCACTTTGGGAGGCCGAGGTGGGCGGATCACTAGGTCAGGAGATCGAGACCATCCTGGCTAACACGGTGAAACCCCGTCTCTACTAAAAATACAAAAAATTAGCCGGGCATGGTGGCGGGCGCCTGTAGTCCCAGCTGTTCAGGAGGCTGAGGCAGGAGAATGGCGTGAACCCGGGAGGCGGAGCTTGCAGTGAGCCAAGATTGTGCCACTGCACTCCAGCCTGGGCGACAAAGCAAGACTCCATCTCAGAAAAAAAATAAATAAATAAAACAAAAGTAAAAATAAATAAATAAATAAACTTTACCTATCCTTGAAGACTTAGACTTAAATATAATCTCCACAAAACCTTATTTGAGTTATTGAGTCAGAAATGTTCTCTTTCTTAAACTCTAGTAATACTTTTTCTGCAGCATCTCCCACACTGTCCTGTGCTTCCGTGTGTGTGTGTGTGTTGTGTGTGTGTTTGTGTGTTTGTGTGTGTGTGTAAGTAAATCTTCTAGTTAGACTGTTAGCTTCTTGAGGGTGTGGACTGTGCATTTTATTCATCCTTGAATTCCCCATGGCAAGTAGCACAACTTTTTTTTTCCCCTTTGGAAAAAGGGGCTTCATACATTAAAGAAAACATAAAGTCAAACATTAACTAAATAGCCCAAATGAACATCTTGGCCTCCCATCCTTCCCTTAAAATCTTTTAGATCCATCAATCATCACCTCCCTCAGTCTTCGGTCTTGTCCTGTACACCCCCTCCCCCCAACTCACGCTTCTTTTTCTCTTCCTTCTTCCTCTTGTTCAGGCTAGATCACACTTACTTAACTCTTTTCTTAAGCCAGTTCCTGTTCCTCATCCTTTTGTTTAAGAGGACATACATGTGTTTGCTTTTTGGTATTATTGTATGTTCTGTTGAAATAGTAAATATTATCTACTATCCAGTCAATTTCAAGTGATGGCTACCTTAGATCTTAATATTTAATCCCCCCCCTCTTTCCCCTCAATTTCTCCAGCATAGAGCACAGTGATTAAAATCTCAGGCCCAGGAACCACCAGGCTGGATCTGAATACCAACTCTGCCACTTACTAGCTGCGTGACCTCAGGCAAGTTACTGAACCTTCGGTTCTGCCATCTGAAACTGGAGATGCTAATGGTGACTACGTCCTATGATTACTTGATGAGCTAGTACGCGTACACCACGTACCTTGTTTAGAACAGTGCCTGGCCTAGAGTGACCACTCAATAGTTGTTATTTGTTTCACTGCAAATGGAAACATTTGGCAAAGAACTGTTGAGACAAATAGAGCTGGAAAGGACAACCGAGTAAACAGTGCTTGGTTAACCACATCAGAATCACTCGGAGATTGCTCCAAAAATGCAGATTACTGAGCCCCACCTGTGAGATTCTGGTGGAACCCAGGAACCTGGCTTTTTGCAAATGCTCCTCCTACTTGGATCGACAGCCAGACTACCGGCACAGAAGAAAATGCCCCAAATTTGGAGTAAGGAAATCCAGGACTCTGGTAGTATTTCTGCCAGTGACCCAGTGTGTGACTTCTGAGACTACACTTTCTCATTTGTAAAATGCAGATAACAAATTTGATTTATTCATAGAGTAGTTGTGGGGGTCACATTACTAAAGTCATTTCTGTCGGGGAAGCTGGCTTAGTGGGGTGAAAGGAATGCAGGCTTTGCAATAAGCTGGACCCGGCTGTGAGTTCCATCGTGGAGGCCGCTGCAGATGTCGTTAGTTGCCAATTCTATATCCAGCCCCCTCTTCCTAACGCAACCCTGATTTTGCTTGGTGTGTAACTGTGCCTAGTTGAAAATACTTCCTCCCAGACTTCCTTGCAGCTGGGTGGCCATGTGACACGGTTCTCTCTGCTGAGGAGTTTCTGGGAAGGCTTATCTTTCCTTTTTCTTGTTTGTTTGTTTGTTTGTTTGTTTGGAAACAGGGTCTTGCTCTGTAACCCAGGCTGGAGTGCATTGGCACAAACAACTCACTGCAGTCTTAAACTCCTGGGCTCAAGCTATCCTCCCACCTCAGCCTCATGAGTAGCTGAGACTACAGATGCACACCCCATACCTGGCTAATTATTATTTTTTTTTAAGAGACAAGGTCTCACCATGTTTCCCAGGCTGGTCTCCAACTCCTGGGCTCAAGCAATCCTCCTGCCTCGGCCTCCCAAAGTGCTGGGATTATAGGCGTGAGCCACCCACCGTGCAGCCTATTTTCTTGATACAGACACTTGTTCCTGTTTCTCCCTTTGCCCTATTGTCTTCCCCTTTTCTTACTGCCTGGAACATGGATGAAAGGCTTGGCAGAGCAGCAGCCATCTTGTTCCTATGAGGGTACAAATCTGGGAGGGTAGCTTACAGGCTGAGTATGACAGTGTGAGGAGATGAAAAGATTCTAGATCCCTAGTGGCATCATCCAGCAGTGGCAGCATCTCTGGGCTGCCCACCCCTAAATGTTTTATATATATATGAGACAAATCTCTATTGTTTAGGGTGGAGGTAATTTTTTTGTTGATTATTTGTACCTTAAACTTCTTAGGGAGAATTAAAAAACAAATAAAGGGCCAGGTGCAGTGGCTCACGCCTATAATCCCAGCACTTTGGGAGGCTGAGGCGGGCAGATCACGAGGTCAGGAAATCGAGACCATCCTGGTCGACATGGTGAAACCTCATCTTTACTAAAAACACACACACACAAAAAATAGCTGGGTGTGGTGGTGCACGCCTGTAATCCCAGCTACTTGGCAGGCTGAGGCAGGAGAATCGCTTGAACCAGGGACTTGGAGGTTGCAGTGAGCCGAGATGGCGCCACTGCACTCCAGCCTGGCGACAGAGTGAGACTCTGTCTCAAAACAAAACAAAACAAAACAAAAAAACAAACAACAACAACAACAAATAAAGATCCTAGAACCATGTCTGACCCAGTGGACATTCATATATCTGCTTCCCCTTCTCCAGCTGTGAGACGTTTTCTGCATTTGTGCAGTGAGGCTTCTTCTAAATTCAATATCCTATGTTTAACTAATGATAAGGTCGAAGAATTGGGCCCTGGGACTGGCCTCTGAAATAAATGGCCCTTTATTCCAGGCCCTTCCCCTGGGGGAGTTTGGGAAGGCAGAAGCACTAGTTTGTCACTCCCAAAACCCCACCAAGTGCCTGGGCACAGGTACAGCATGGAGAACCTATAGCACCCTGACCTATGGAGATGTCTGCACCCCAATAAAACAGATGTTAAAATCTCCATGTGCTTTGTGAGGCAGAGCATGCAAAATGTGAGTTCAAAAGACATGAAATTGCCCCTGCTCTGATGTAAATATAGATGATGATTCTAAGTGGGACACACATGTGTGAGAAGGTAAGAATGAAACCTATTAACCTCCCACTTCCCCCCCAACACACATACATTTCCCATTATTTTCTCCTGTTGGAAGTACTTGGGTGTGAGTGTGGGCACCTGTATACCAGTGGGAACAGAAAGGAGTTTGTTTTCATTACCATCCTTTTTTTGAGATGGAGTCTTGCTCTGTCACCAGGCTGGAGTGCAGTGGCATGATCTCAGCTCACTGCAACCTCCACCTCCAGGGTTCAAGTGATTCTCTTTCCTCAACCTCCTGAGTAGCTGGGACTACAGGTGCGCGCCACCACGCCCAGCTAATTTTTGTGTCTTTAGTAGAGACGGGGTTTCACCATGTTGGCCAGGATGGTCTCGATCTTTTGACCTCATGATCCACCCGCCTCGTCCTCCCAAAGTGCTGGGATTACAGGCATGACCCACCACGCCCGGTCCTCCATTACCATTCTTACCTGCCCACAGCATGGCTTTCACAGAAGCAGGCTAATGCCTTTATGACCCCTGGGAATGCCATGATTCATCCAAGTCAGCTGCCCTCTCTGCCAACTGAATCCTGCAGGTCCCCATGGTCTTCCTGGCACTGACAGTTTGATTTGATCGCTTCAGCCATTGCTGAATTCAACAGCACCTGAGTCAGGACTTTTGCAAACCTTAAACGTAAACATATAGTGACTATAGAGGGAACTTTTTAAAAAGCAAATGTATTCTTCCTCCATTATCTAAAAAAGATTGGCAAAAAGTTAAATCTCCTTTTACTTCAAAAGTAAAGAAAATCATGCAATGAGATGATCCTGTTGGGCCTTCAGCACAGACCCATCCTCTCTTCCCCGGCTCCCAGCAGTCCAGGGCAGGTTTCTGTCCTCAGCAGGCTGAGTTTTGTTCAGTCCATTCGTTCCTTGCTGGATCAGCACACTCTGGATTTCTCAGCCCTTTCAGTCTGAGTGTTCCTCCCTCATGGCCTTCACAAGCCAGTCCTGTTCTGTCCCCTGCTCAGAGTCACTGGTGTCACTCACCTCCATGGACAGCAGCTTCGAGTACTTGATTTTCCGCTCTCGGGGCAGCCTCCGCTGTATGGACAGGAGCAAGGCCAACCAGAGCAACAGGGCCACACAGCAGGCCTGGTAGAGCACAGCCAGGCTGAAGCGCATCACCACGAAGCCCCCGACAAAGCTGCCCAGGCTACAGCCACTCCCGTAAAAGTGGCCTCGGAACAAGGCACTCAGAGCCCTCTCCATGCGGGGAGTGGCCAGGTCCTCTACTGAGGCCCCCACAGCCCACCACAAAGCTCTGTTGCTAATGGCACTCAAGATCTGAATGGGGAGGACGGACCACCAGCTCCAGAGGAAAGAGTAGTACAGCAGCTGCCCAGCGAGGCAGCTCAGCCCCAGCCCCACCAGGCCCGTCCTGGACAGTTTCCTAAGCAATGTAGCTTTGAACGGATGAAGCAGAATTTCCCCCAGCAAGCTGAGGGCGACCGAGAAACCCATGACCAGCTCGCCGCTCCCATGGTCCTTCATGTGCCAGAACAGAAAGTTCTGGACAGTACTGACGATGGCTCCTACCAAAACAGTGGTGGAGGCGAGGAGAATGAGGTGGGGGTCACCCCCCACAATGGACAGTGCTTTGACCCTTTTGTAGCTGGGCTCCCACTGCTGACAGATGGGAATGGGAAAGGCAATGCTCACCAGTAAGGCCAGGGTGCTGACCACCGAGTACCCATAGAAGTGGACCACACCTCGGGGGCCACTGGTCATCAGGAAGCAGTCCAGCTGCCCCACCAAGGCTGTGATGCCACACACGCCTGCCGACATGCCCAGCAACCTCCAGACCCACAGGCTTCTGTATCGGTCAGTGGCATCCACAAAATCCAGGAACTCATAAAGGCTGTCATCTGCCACCTGCTCCAGAGGCGCTGTCAGCAGCTCCCAGAACGCCACGGACCCCAAGGAGAGGATAAAAGTCCGCCGCAACGCCTCCAAGGACAGGTCAAAAGCCCAGGCTTTCCCCTTGGTCCCTGACAAATTGGCTGGATTCCCGGGCCCTTTCCCCCCAGGAAGCAAGGGGAGGGCTGTCTTGACCACCTCAAAAGTAACTTCCCAGGGATGATCTTTCAGCCCCGAAGTGACAGGATGGAGGAGAGCTTGGGATGTGGTCCTAGCTCCTTCAACGGAGGGCGCTAAGTAGACGTGCAGATCACGGAAAGTTTCTCGGTCACTTTCACCAGGTGGGTTTCTGAAGCCAGGCATTTCCACCTCTGCAGTCCTCTTGGCTGGGTGGCTGGAGGCAGACTCTTGGGCCGAGGTGATGTTCACAGGTAGCGTGACCCCCGGGAGTGCGTCTGTGCTGGTCAGGCCGCTGCTTCCATTACAAGGGAAGTGCACCCGATTTTTGTCTACCGGTGGGACCAGGACCATCAGCAGGCTGGCCCCCACCGAGCCGAGCAGGGAGCCGATCAGAAGCGCTCTCCTTTTCCGGTAGCTTTTGGCCAGGAAGGCACAGACGGGAGCCCAGAAGGCAGCGATTAGGTGCTTGGTTCCCATTAGGGTGCCCACCCAGGGCGCGGCCAAGCCCAGCTGCCTCAGGTAAAGGGTCAGGAACGGGGTCACGCAGGCTTCCCGCACCCCGCACACCAGGTGGAAGAGCTTGGCCACCCCCAGCGCCCTGCTGATGTCCCACCGGGGGTTGGCACTCATGGCTGCCGGGCTCTGTCAGGCCTGGGCCGACGGAGGGCGGAGCTGGGCGCAGGGCGGGCGCGGCCCCAGGTACCCGGGAGGGAGGCTTGGGGGACCGGGGCTCGGAGCGAGTGGGACTGCGCCCCCGGTCTGGGGCGGCGCCGCGGTCACCAGGTCAACGGCCGCCCCCGGCCACAGCCCCCAGGTCCTGCCGTTGGACCGAAAGGGGCCCCGCCCGGAGGGAGAGGCGGGGCGGGGGCGAAGGTGGGGGCGGGGCCAGCGCACCTGCGAGCCGCACCTGCCACGTCCCACCGCCTCCGCGGGCCACCTGCCCGGACGTGCGCAGGTGCGCTAGGGGCGCGTCCGGGGGCCTGTAGGGTGCGCTCTGAGCTAGGCCTCGGGCCCCGCCTGGCCTCTGGCTGCCAATGTGGCCCAGGAGCCTGAGCTAAACGCCTGGACTGCTTCAGGCAAGTAAAACCGTCAGAGTCGGCGTGGGGGGGAGCCAGAATGGAATGAATGGTATCCACCAGGCTGTCTCCCTCATCTTCTTCAGGTCTGTACTGGAATGCACCCTGATCAGTGACCAACCACAGACAGAGATCAACACGGTCCACTCTGACATCGCAAATCCCATACCCCTGTACCCACCCCGCCCCCAAGACTCCCACTCCCCTGCCCTACTTGATCGTTCTCTCTAGAACTTATCACTGACCAAGGCACTACGGGCTTATATTTCATGTGTTGACTTTGTTTATTGTCTGTCTCCACCAGAATCCAAGCTCCAGGAAGGCAGGTATTTTTGTCCCCGGGGCCTAGAATTGTTTCATTGGATGCATACTGCCCTCGGAAATGGCATGACCTTGGGTGACATGGTTGTCTCCAGCTGGGACAGTCCCTAAGGAGGGCTGACAGCTGATGGCAGTCGTCCAGGGGAACTCCTTGCAGCCGATCGCCAGCACATGGCAGTCCCCAGAGCCATATGTATGTGCTGCACAGTTTTAACCTACACCTAAGGGTGGTCTGGTGCCCTGTTTGAGAGTACACACACTTGAGGTGGTTAGCTAGCATTTCATCAAAAAGACAGAGACAGCTAGTACAAGCACGTCGACAATCTTAAATCAACAGAAGTGTCTTCACTAATGGACATAATAGATATTAGAAATAGTTTTTCACTGGTGAAATTAGTGGTGTCCAAGCCACCTGGATTGGAGATAATTTTTTTGAAGGCATTTCCTCTCTTGCTGGAACAGGCTATAATAATCTAGAGATGGCCTGGTGCGGTGGCTCATGCCTGTAATCCCAGCACTTTGGGAGGCCGAGGCAGGTGGATCACGAGGTTAGGAGATCGAGACCATGCTGGCTTACACGGTGAAACCCTGTCTCTACTAAAAATACAAAAAAATTAGTTGGTTGTGGTGGTGTGTGCCTGTAGTCCCAGCTCCTTGGGAGGCTGAGGCAGGAGAATGGCATGAACCCGGGAGGTGGAGCTTGCAGTGAGCCGAGATCACGCCACTGCACTCCATCCTGGGCAACAGAGTGGGACTCCGTCTCAAAAAAAAAAAAAAAAAATCTAGAGATGCCAGTAGTCCAAACCCTTTGGAAGGATGCTATAGGCTTTGCTTCAAAATGGTCCAGTGTGCAGCTCCTGATTCAGTAAACTTTTCATACAAGGTTTGCTCAGAGCACCTAATTTGGCTGGGGGTGGAGTGGAACTGCTTGCCAACACATGTCTATGTGTAAGGGAATTCGGCCTATGACTTGCCTGCATTGTCAGCTGGTAGAGAGTATGTTGGGGAGCAGGCCCAGGGGCCTCACTTAACCTAAAAAACTGGTAAACTCTGCAGACATCTACTGAAAACCTAATGATTGGTGATGAAATTGGTATGAATCCGTTTATATCATACCAATGGCAGGAAAAATAAAATCTAGTCTCCTCCAGGTAAACTCACTCAAATTCAGTGCTACTGCAATCATTTCAGGTTTAAAACCACCTCAGTCACACTAATGATTGCCCTACTCCTGCCCCTCCCTGGGTTCTTCTGTGGGCAGCCTCAGTGGAGGATAGCGCATCCATCCACTTCTCAGTCCTGACCTGTCCTGGGTTCATCTCCACTGGGAGGCAGATGTCAGACTCCAATGTGCCTGGACATGTGCAGGTGTGCGAGGGGCATGTCCTGGGGCCTGCAGGGTGCACCTGGAGCTAGACCAAGGGCCCCGCCCAGCCTCTGGCTGCCCATGTTGCCCAGGAACTTGGGCTAAACACCTGGATTGCTTCAGGCAAGTAAAACCATCAGTCAGGGTGGGGGCAGTGAGAATGGAGTGAATGGCATCCTCCAGGCTCCCTCCCTCACTGCACCATGCTGGAGTCTGTGGAGGTGCCTACAATTCTGCACCTGGCCTTCAGGTGCCATGCTCCACACTGCTGCCTGCAGCTGCACCATTTTCCCTTTGAGCTTGCCTGCTTTCAGCCACCCGAGAAAATCTCCGCCTGCTTCCCATGTCCTGTACAAGCACAGGGAATCTCTCTAAGACTGACCTTGGACCCCTCTGGCTCTGCACCCCAGGTGGTCCATCTTACACTCCCCTTGGCATTGAGAAGGTATCCTGCCATTGAGACTTGCTTCCACTCCTGGGGCAATTTGGCCCAAAGCAAGGCGCCCTCTTCTCTATTCTTGGATTCCCAAACTTAAAAGGGAATCTTCTACAGGTGATAGGACTCAAGTCCAAGCATTTTTGTTTTCTCTGTTACTCTCCCCCCACACCATACCTATTTCTGGGGATGAAGAAACTGAAGATGTGTCATTGATCTTTCTATTTTACACTTGGATGTAAGTTTTTGAACATAAAAGCCAAGAATTTTGGTGTCTTTAATCTCTGGCTTGGCCAGTGTGGTGGCTCACGCCTGTAATCCCAGCACTTTGGGTGGCCGAGGTGGGAGGATCCCTTGAACCAAGGAATTCAAGACCAGCCTGGGCAACTTAGGAAGACCTCATCTCTACAAAAAAAAAAAAAAAAAAAAAAAAAAAAGCCCCAAAACGGCCGGGTGCAGTGGCTCATGCCTGTAATCCCAGCTCTTTGGGAGGCTGAGGCGGGCAGATCACCTGAGGTCAGGAGTTTGAGACCAACCTGGCCAACATGGTGAAACCCTGTCTCTACTAAAAGTACAAAAATTAGCAGGGCGTGGTGGTGCATGCTGGTAATCCTAGCTACTTGGGAGGCTGAGGCAGGGAGAATCGCTTAAGCCCGGGAGGTGGAGGTTGCAGTGAGCTGAGATCATGCCATTGCACTCCAGCTTGGGTGACAGAGCAAGACTGTCAAAAAAAAAAAAAAAAGGCCCCAAAACAAAAAATCCCAAATGTAGTAGGGCATGGTGTCATGCACCTGTGGTCCCAGCTACTTGAGAAGCTGAGGTGGGAGGATCGCTTGGGCCTGAGAGATGGAGGCTGCAGTGAGCTGTGATTGTGCCACTGCACTCCAGAGCAGTGACAGAGTAAGCAAGGGGCAGGAGACAGAACACACTAGTTTATACTTCACAGAACTCTTACCTGGCCCAAGTGGACTCAATAGGTTATAAAAAGGACTGCCCTGATGATTCCTATTAACATATAAATATTGCCAGGTATGAGATGAAAGCAGAAAGACTTCAGTGTACATTTATTGAGTCTGACATTTTTCTCTCACCTGATAGAGACACCTGCCTGGGCTGAGTGAGGTGGGCAGTGGCCTGAGAGTGGGAAGGGAAGAGACTTGGGAGGGAGGTGGTGCTGTTGCTGTTCCTTGCTTCCAATTTTCCCCTAGGCCACAGGGCTCTGGCCAAGACAGCAGCTTTAACCCTGGTTTTAAGGGCTGGATGGGGAGCTTGGGTGGGAGAGGACAGTGGGAGAAGTGGGAATTGAAGCTAAATGAAGGAGTAGACATTTGTATGAGAAGCTGGGCTTGGTGTGTATGTTCTCAAGCAGCGACAGCATTGCCTGGGCCATCCGTAGACCTCCATGTGGGCCCTTCCTCATCACAGTCCCCAGGGTAGGCTCCCTGTGCTCCCAGGCACTCGCTGGCTCCTGGTCAAGGCCAAAGCTGCCGTGTGGAGCCGGGCCTTGCTCTGGCTGTTGGTGTGAGTGTTTGGAGTTGGTGGGGTAGTGTATCCTTCCTCCTGGGCCTGCTGTCCCTGCAGGCTCACTGGACAATACCAGAGAATGTGTTGATGGGCATCAGAAGGGGCTTGGGCTTGGCTTTGATTGCTTCCACCTCCTGTTGCCCATGCAAATTGAGCCACGGTGCCTTGGACTTCTGGGCCCCAGAACATGGTTCTGGGCAGGGAGCAACCTCGAATCTGTGGGTGGAGAGAGACCAGCTCAGGTGACCCATCTGAGGGATCAGATTGCCTAGGGCATTTGAAAGGCAGAGCTGTTATTGTAGGGCCTAGAGCTGTTATTGTAGGGCATAGAGGAGGCGGCTACACAGAAGAAAGAGGAAGAGTCAGGACAAGAAAGAAAAACCTGGGCCTGGGGTTCACCGGGAGAGGAGACACTTGGAGCAAGTAACTCTGCGCATGCCTCCCTTACCCAAACACACCTCCCGAGGGGAAGCCAGTAAGGGTCAGCTAACTGGAACACAGATGCCACAGGTCAGCCTGTGTGGGAGGGGCCCGTGCCTGCAGAGGGGACTGGATCAGGAGGCTGCAGGCTGAGTGTATGCAGAGGCATCTGGGGAAAATGCAATATCAGCTGCTGCCCTGGGTATGCCATTCATTTGCCTCGACTTCCTGGATCCAAAGCATAGGGCAGTGGCCTCTGTCCATCCTCACCAAGGTTACCTGCCTGGCCACAGGATCTACCTCCGATGAGGTGCCTTGAGCTAGAGGCAGGAGATGGCAGGAGCTGGCTCCTGCTTCAGTTTGTCCCACGGGCCCTGGACATCTAGGGTTGGCAGGCCCAGCCTCACCTGACCACATCCCTGAAAGTGCGTTGATCGTCCTTGTCCAGCGACAGTGTCAGCAGCCTCTGGTCCCGGCTCTGGATCTGGATATTGTTCGTCCTGAAGGTGTTGGTCACTGTCTGCAGCACAGAGATCGCACGTGTGAGTGTTGCCTTTGCTCGACAGGTGGCCCTGCCAACATGCCCTACCCTGGAATCTGGTGTATTTCTTCAGTCCAGCACATGGGGTCCCCAGCTCTCCTCCTGCAAGTGACTGAGGAGTGACAACCCTGCACAAACTGCTTCTAGGCTGCCCTTGCCCTTGGATCTCACATCGTTCTTCCAGTTCTTTTCCCAGCCTGCCGTCCTTGATTTTGAACACAAACGGGAATGCTGTGGATAGTGCTTGCCAGGTTGTCAAGTTACCTGAACTCGAGTGTTGATTTCTTCAACATTTTCCGAGCACCTCCTCTATGACAGACGTGTTAATGTATATGGAATTTGGGGAGTATTTCAGGGGTTTTAAAAGTCTTGACCCCGGTTCTCAGCATTAAATCACATACAACATTATTTACCTGCTGCAGACACAGAGGGTCTAGAAAGCAGCCAAAGACCCCAAGCTCAGACCAAGCCGAAGGAAAGCACCCCCAGGCATCCTTATAACTCCTGACCTGAGGGAGCAGCTCCAGAGAGGTCGCCTCCCATTGGGCAGAGAACTTGGAGCATTGTGGGTTCCAGGTGGAGCTTTCAGAGGTTGTGGTTCATCCCACACACAGACTTTGGGTAATTTACAACCACAGAACCCTGGAGTTGCCAGAGGCCTCAGAGACCATCTCATTCAAGTGTTCTTAACCCTGGCTGCCCATAAGAATCAATTTTCAAAAACATAATGTTGGAGATTCTGATTCAAGTGGCATAGAATTGAGCCCAGGTACGGGCATTTTTTAAAAAGCTCCTGAGTGTAGGCAGGGCTGAGAACAGCCACTGAGTTGTTCAGTGTCATCTAGCAGAGGCACGAGCAGCAGCCTGAACTAGGAGTTCACACGTGTCCAGGCATTTCAGCTGAACTTTTAGGGGATGGGGGTAGGCCAGCCAGAAGTCTGTGGACAGGCCATGGAGGATCCACTGGGAGGAGGGTAAGAGCATAGTCTCTAAGCCAGGCTGCCCAGGCTCTAATCCCGGTTCTGCCACTTACTAGCTGTGTGACCTTAAGCATGTTTCTTAATCTCTCTGTGCTACCTTTTAGGATTGTTGTGAAGATTACATGAGATAGTATATATTAAGTGCTTGGAACAGAGCCCAAGACACTGTTAAGAACTCTTATTAATTATAATTTTCCAAGAAGGAGCCAAGCATGACTCATGGACTCAGCAATGAAGTCCCAGGTGTCAGAGGGGAAGGGGAACCTACTGTGGGTTCTTTCTCTTCTTGGTTTGTCCCCTAGGCCAAGCCCCCACCTATCACCCCGCTATGCATAGACTCCTGTGCGTCTGAATGGGTGAGCTGTGAGTAAAGACAGATTTAACAAAACCTCTGTAAGACGGGGCAACTCCATGACAGAGGGTAACACTCAGGGGAGAGGGGGCTTCTCCCCTGGTGCCAACAGAACCTGTGGCACCTTGGCCGGGCGCGGTGGCTCATGCCTATAATCGTAGCACTTTGGGAGGCCAAGGTGGGCAGATCCCCTGAGGTCAGGAGTTCGAGATCAGCCTGGCCAACATGGTGAAACCCCATCTCTACCAAAAATACAAAAAAATTAGCCAGGCGTAGTGGCGGGCATCTGTAGTCCCAGCTACCTGAGAGGCTGAGGCAGGAGGATCGCTTGAACCCAGGAGGCAGAGATTGCAGTGAGCTGAGATTGCACCACTGCACTCCAGCCCGGGCAACAGAATGAGACTCTGTCTCAAAAAAAAAAAAGAAAAAGAGCCTGTGGCACCTTTAGTGCTCTGTGCTCTGGAGCTGTCAGGCACAGTGGGAAGGTTGTGGTCAGGGGGGCAGGCAGTGGAACCTAGTAGGCACTGACTGGACAGCTAATGGAATGATTGTTGATACTGGAATGTCACTTGTGACCCTCCAAAAATACCTGGAGAGACTGCAGGGGGCTGAAGTCCTGCATGAGCTGGGGGAGGGTGGGCGAAAGCCAGGTACGTTCTATTTGCCATAATGAATGGAATTGCACCTGAACTGATTGCACCTGGTGAGAGAGATGCATGGTTTCCATAGGTTAGGTGACTGGGGATCGAATGTGACCCACTGAAGCCTGCACAGTGGTAGCCATGGGGCCAGCTCTCTGACTCTCAACTTGGTGTTCCTTCTTTAGCATCAGGCTGCTCTAGGTGTCTCTGGCAGGATTTGGGCCTCCACGCCCTGCCCATGGACCTAGCCCCACCTTCTAGGTAATCACACACAGTCTCTGGGCCTCCTCCCACCTGCCTGCGGTGTGGGCAGATGCCTTTCATTTCCCTTTGTGGTCTGCACACCTAGACACACTCTACCTGCTTGGCTTTGGCCCATAAGGAGCACAAGAGTCTTAGATTTTAGTCTATAAATGAAGCCATGGGAGCCAGTGGAAAGGGCCAGATGCAGAATTTGCAAAGGATCCCACTCTCTGTAAGACTAAGGAATGGGCAAAGTGCTGCTAATTGTCTCCTGTTCTCTGTTGGTGGCCTAACAACATACCCCAAAGCCCCAGTTCTTCTGTTTCTGCTTTATTTCCCACTTCTGTTCTATTTCAAACTTCCAATCCAGCTAAGGTCATATCTGACCCTTAAACTTACTGAGCTAGCCACAGGCCCTTGCCCCCATGCCATTCTTCAAGCTGTCTCTGCCTTCTTACTCCAGCTCACCATGAGCTTCCCCTCAGTGGTTATCATCCAGTCCATGTGGACAAAACATGTATGTGGACCTGCCTGGTTCTGAGAGGAAAGCACAGCTACTGGAATTTTCCCCTAGCAAGTCCCTGTAGGGATAAAAGGGAACTTGCTGAAGTGATAAGTTTAGACTTTCAAAAAGCCCCTGACCAGGTTGTTTAAAGAGGTCATTAAAAACAGAAACCACTTTAAGGAACTTTGAAAGAGGAAATGCAACAGAAGGGTAAATAGGTCCACTTTGGAGCCTAAAACTTCAATATGGGGTTGCCCTATACGAAGACAGATTTCAGCTCAAGGCAGACCTCTCAGCCAATCAGAACTCTCCTACAGTGGATAGGCTGCCTCAGAAAGCGTCAGCTTCCAGTTCCGGCTTGAGATCTAGGATGAGGTGGAAGGTGGATTAGATGACTCAACAAACATCCGGTGAGGCCCTGCTGCAGGCCAGACACCACACCAGCTAAGATGAGGATCCTGAGTCTAGGGAGTTTGCAGGCCATTGACATACAAAGATCATGCCATTTATAGTGTCACAAATGTTTCCATAGCTGTGTCCCCAGGGTCCTATGGGAGCACAGAGGTGGTACACTTAGCTCACCTAGGTGAGGGGAGGAGGGTGGAGGATGTGGAAGGAAGGGGGAAAAGCATTAGGAAAGGCCTCCTGAGGGAGATGACACCTGAGTCTCAACTTGTAGGATGAGTAGAAATTATAAAAAGAAGGTGGGCAGGTGGAAGGGAGGAATGAGGTTTCAGGTCAGGCAACTAGCGTGAGCAAAGGCACAGGGATGTGACTTCAGGAACACTTCCCAACACATGGTGGGAAGAGCCTCCAGGGAGTGCCCAAAGCTGCAGATGGAGAAGAAGGGGAGTGAAGCTATGCAACACTGAAGAGTTTTTCTGCCCCTGGAGAATGGGAGAAGATGGAGGAGTTTTAAGTACGGAATAACATGGGCAGGAAGGTGGACTTAAGGAGGATCAGAGTATTGCCGGGGAGACCAGCTGGAAGGAGATAGATGAAGGTCAGACTTGGGGTGACCAACTTGCTTGATTTGCCTGGGACTTTCCTGGTGTTAGCACTTAAAGTCCCAAGTCCAAGAAACCCCTTTAGTCCCAGGCAAACAGGGACAGTTGGCCAACCAAGCTGGACCAGAATAGAGAGGACAAAGAAGGGAGAGATTTGAGAAGTGTTCCATCGGGACAAAGGAAAGTGAGGAAGAGGAGGCACCAGGGATGACTCCTGGGTTTCCGGCAGAGGTGATTGGTTAATGATGGTACCATTAAACGAGACAGGAGATATAAGAAGGAGATGAAATAAAAATGACTGCTAACACATACATAATGTTTACTTTAGCCAAGCACTCTTCTAAGAGCTTCGCATGCCACAATCAATCCTCATAACTGGATGAGGTAGGTAATGTTATTATAGCTGTCCCTCCATATCTGCATATGTGGAACCTGCACATACAAAAGGCCAACAGTAAGAGACTTTAGCATCCATGGATTTTTGTATCCTTGGGGGTCCCGGAAATAATCCCCATGGATACTGAGGAATGACTGCCTCCCCTTTTTATAAAATGATACTGAGTCACAGAGATATTAACTTGCTTAACATCATATAACTGGTAAATGGCAGAGGCAAGATCTGAATCCAGACAATCTGGCTCTAGAGAGCTCTTAACTATTAGAAAGTACTGGCTTTGATTTTTAATATCTTGAGTTTGTGGTATTGTGGGACATCCAGATCATGCTAACTTAGTTCAATGCAGGAGTCAAAAACTCAGGTATGAATGTCAGGGCAGAAGACACAGATTTGGGAGGACTTAACAAATGGAACTAAATCCTTGTGAGTTTGATAGTCCAGGAAATGAAAAAAGAAGTGAGCCATGGATAGAAATTGAGGACAGTAGCTACTTAAGGATCTAGGAAAAGGAGTTCAGGGAATGAGGCCAACAAGTAATAGTCAGGCATGTAGAAGAAAGTCTATAAGAAAGTGTTGTCTCTGAATTTATAGATTTTAGGGTATTTAAAGACTCAGAGTACAGGGCTTCAGCTCTAGTGATGGAATTCCATTCAAAATTGACCAAAGGAATATAAAACTGGGGAAAACATTTATGACAGTGCTAGAAGCCAGCTTCATTGGAGTATTAACATATAAACATAACTTCAAATATACATATTTTGTCTAATTGCCTAAAAGGAGAATCCCATCAGACTAACAGCAGGCTTCTCACCCAAAACCTTGCAAGCCAGAAGAGACTGGGGTTCTATTTTCAGTCTTCTTAAAGAAAAAAAGATGCCAAGAATTTTGTATCCTGCTAAACTAAATTAATAAATGAAAGAGAAATAAAGTATTTACCAGACAAGCAAACACTAAGGAAATTTGTCACTACTAGACAGGTCCTACAAGAAATGCTCAAAGGATTTCTAAACATGGAAAGAAAAGGGTGATACTCATTGTCATAAAAACACAAGAAAGTATAAAACATGTAGGTCTTATAAAACAATTACACAAGACTGCAAAGCAACTAGGTAATAATTATGACAGGAACAAAACCTCACATATCAATACTAACCTTAAATGTAAGGGACTAAATGCTCCACTTAAAAGATATAGGCTCAGCTGGGCACAGTGGCTCATGCCTGTAATCCCAGCACTTTGGGATGCTTGAGTTCCAGGCATTAAAGTAGGAGGATCACTTGAGTCCAGGAATTTGAGACTAGCCTGGGCAACGTAGTGAAACCTCTTCTCTACAAAAAATTAAAAAATTAGCTGGGCATAGTGGCTTGCACCTGTGGTCTCAGCTACTCAGGAGGTTGAAGTAGGGGGATCAATAAGATATGGGCTGGTGGAATGGATAAGAAAAACAGGATCCAACTGTATGCTGCATACAAGAAATCTGCCTAACTGTTAAAGACATTTACACTCTAAGGGGTGGAAAAAGATATTTCACACAAATCAAACCAAAAACAAGTAGGAGTAGCTATACTTATATCAGATAAAACAGAGTTTAAATCAACAGTAAAAAAAGACAAGGTCATCTATAATGATAAAGGGATCAATTCAACAAGAAGACATAACAATTCTAAATAAATATGCACCCAACACTGGAGCACCCAGATTCCTAAATACTACTAGATCAAAGAGATAGCCACTGTATTAATCCATTTTCACACTGCTGATAAAGACATACCTGAGACTGGGAAATTTACAAAAGAAAGAGGTTTAATGGACTTACAGTTCCACATGGCTGGGGAGGCCTCACAATCATGGAAGAAGGCAAAGGAGGAGCAAAGTCACGTCTAACATGGATGGCAGCAGGCAAAAAGAGAGCTTGTGCAGGGAAACTCCTTCTTATATCACCATCAGATGTCATGAGACTTACCCACTATCACGAGAACAGCATGGGAAAGACCTGTCCCCATGATTCAATTACCTCCCACCAGGCCCCTCCCACAACATGTGGGAATGCAAGATCAGATTTGGGTAGGGACACAGCCAAACCACATCATTCCACTGCTGGCGCCTCCCAAATCTCATGTCCTCACATTTCAAAACCAATCATGCCTTCCCAACAGTCCCCTGTCTTAACTCATTTCAGCATTTACTGAAAAGTCCACAGTCCAAAGTCCAAAGTCTTATTTGAGACAAGGCAAGTCCCTTCTGCTTATGAGCCTGTAAAATCAAAAGCAAGTTAGTTACTTCCTAGATACAACAGGGGTACAGGCATTGAGTGAAAACAGCCATTCCAAATGGAAGAAGTTGGCCAAAACAAAGGGGCTACAGGCCCCATGCAAGTCTGAAGTCCAGAAGGGGAGTCAAATCTTAAACCTCCAAAATGATCTCCTTTGACTCCATGTCTCACATCCAGGTCACACTGTTGTGAGAGGTGGGTTCCCATGGTCTTGGACAGCTCTGCCCCTATGGCTTTGCAGGGTTCTGCCTCCCTCCCAGCTGCTTTTATGGGCTGGCGTTGAGTGTCTGCAGCTTTTCTAGGCACACGTGCAAGCTGTCAGTGGATCTATCATTCTGGGTCTGGAGGATGGTGGCCCTCTTCTCACAGCTCCTAGCCCCAGCAGGGACTCTGCATGGGGGCTCTGACCCCACATTTCCCTTCTGCACTGCCCTAGCAGAGGTTTTCTATGAGGGCCTTGCCCCTGCAGCAAACTTCTGCCTGGGCATTCAGGCATTTCCATATATCCTCTGAAATCTAGATGGAGGTTCTCAAACCCTAATTCTTGACTTCTGTGCACTTGCAGGCTCAACACCACATGAAAGCTGCCAAGCCTTAGGGCTCGCACCCTCTAAAGCCATGGCCCGAGCTCTACATTGGTCCCTTTCAGCCATGGCTGGAGCAGCTGGGATGCAGGACACCAAGTCTCTAGGCTGCACACAGCACGGGTACCCTGGGCCCAGCCCATGAAACCATTTTTTCCTCCTAGGTCTCAGGGTCTGTGATGGGAGAGGCTGCTGTGAAGACCTCTGACATGCCCTGGAGACATTTTCCCCATTGTCTTGGGGATTAACATTTGGCTCCTCATTGCTTATGCAAATTTCTACAGCCAGCCTGAATTTCTCCTCAAAAAATGGGATTTTCTTTTCTATTGCATTGTCAGGTTGCAAATTTTCCAAACTCTTATGCTCTGCTTCCCTTATAAAACTGAATGCCTTTAACAGCACCCAAGTCACCTCTTGAATGCATTGCTGCTTAGAAGTTTCTTCTGCCAGATACCCTAAATCATATCTCTCAAGTTCAAAGTTCCACAAAAATGCCACCAGTTTTGCTAAAATATAAGAGTCACCTTTGCTCCAGTTCCCAACAAGTTCCTCATTTCCATCTGAGACCACCTTAGCCTGGACTTTATTGTCCATATCGCTATCAACATTTTGGGCAAAACCATTCAAAAAGTCTCTAGGAAGTTCCAAGCTTTCCCATTTTCCTGTCTTCTTCTGAGCCCTCCAAACTGTTCCAACCTCTGCCTGTTACCCAGTTCCAAAGTTGCTTCCACATTTTCAGGTATCTTTTCAGCAGCACCCCATTCTACTGGTACCAATTTACTCAATCCATTTCACACTGCTGATAAAGACATACCTGAGACTGGGAAATTTACAAAAGAAAGATGTTTAATGGACTTACAGTTCCACATGGCTGGGGAGGCCTCACAATCATGGCAGAAGGCAAGGAGGAGCAAGTCACATCTTAGATGGATGGCAGCAGGCAAAAAGAGAGCTTGTGCAGGGAAACTCCTTCTTATACCACCATCAGATCTTGTGAGACTTATTCACTATCACAAGAACAGCACAGGAAAGACCTACCCCCATGATTCAATTACCTCCAACTGGGTCCCTCCCACAACATGTGGGAATTCAAGATGAGATTTGGGTGTGGACACAGCCAAACCACATCAGACACCAATAGAATAATAGAGGGAGACTTTAGTACTCCATTGATGCACTAGACAAATTATCAAGGCAGAAAATCAACAAAGAAACTCTGGACTTAAATTGGCCTCTAGACCAAATGGACCTAACAGACATTTACAGAACAATCTACTCTACAACTGCAAAATGTAATTCTTCTCATTTGCACATGGAACATTCTCAAAAATTGGCCATATGCTAGACCACAAGGTGAGTCTCAATAAATTTTTTAAAAACCTGAAGTCATATCAAGTAACTTCTCAGACCACAGTGGAATAAAACTAGAAATCAACACCAAGAGGAACCCTCAAAACTATTTAAATACATGAGAATTAAATAATTTGCTCCTGAATGATTGTTGCATCAATGATAAAATTAAGGCAGAAATAAAAAAATTTTTGAAATGAATGAAAATAGAGACACAACATACCAAAACCTCTGGAGTACATCAAAAGCAGTGCTAAGAGGGAAGTTTATAGTGTTAAATGCCTATATAAAAAAGATGGATCTCAAATCAATAACCTAATGTTGCATGTCAAGGAACTAGAAAAATAAGAACAAACCACACCCTAAGCTAGCAGAAGAAAATAACAAAGATCAGAGCAGAACTAAATGGAATTGGGACAAAAAAATACGAAGGATCAACGAAATGAAAAATTGGTTCTTTGAAATGATAAACAAAATTGATAGACCACTAGCTAAGTTAACCAAGAAAAAAAGAGAGAAGAATCAAATAAGCACAATCAGAAATGAGAAAGGTATCATTACAATTGATACAACAGAAATGCAAAAGATCATCAGAGACCTATAAGCATCTCTATGCACACAAACAGGAAAATCTAGAGGAAATGGATAAATTCCATTTATCTAGGAACATACAACTTCCAAAGATTGAACCAAGAGGAAATAGAATCTTGAACACACCAATAATGAGTAATGAAATTGAATTAGTAATAAAAAAAACTCTCAATTAAAAAAAACCTCAGGAGCAGATGGGTTCACAGTGGAATTCTACAAGACATACAAGGAAGAACTGATACTAATCTTACTGACACCGTTCAAAAAACATTGAGAAGAAGGGAATCCTCCCTAATTCATTCTATGAAGCCAGGGTCAGTCACTCTGATACCAAAGCTAGGCAAGAACACAACAACAACAAAAAAAACTATAGACCAATATGCCTGATGAACATAGATGCAAAAATCCTCAACAAAGTACTAGCAAACCAAATTCAACAGTGAATCAAAAAGATAATGCACTGCAATCAAGTGAGTTTTATTCCAACAATGCAAGGTTGGTTCAACATACACAAATCAATAAATGTGACTCACCACATAAACATAATTAAAAACAAAAATTATGCAATTGTATTAATAAATTCAGAAAAAGCATTTCATAAAATCCAGCATCTCTTCATGATAAAAGCCCTTACCAAAGTAGCAATAGAAGGAACATATCTCAAAATAATAAAAGCCATATATGACAAACCCACAGTCAACATCACACTGAGTGGGGAAAAATTGAAAGCATTACCTCTAAGAACTGGAATAAGGCAAGGATGCCCACCGTCACTACTCCTATTCAACATAACAGAAGTCCTAGTTAGAGCAGTCAGAAAAGAGAAAGAAATAAAAGGCATCCAAATTGGAAAAGAGAAAGTGAAATTATCCCAGCTCCAGAGTGACAGGCATAATAAGCAGGCTTACCCACCCCTCATCCCTGGCCCCCTTTACTCGCTGAGGCAGGAGCCCAGAGGACTCATTTCTGGAAAAACAAAACTATCCTAGCAAAGAGACTTGCAGATACTGACATCTGGGATCCCCCCACAGAAAGAACCATGGGCTTCTGACTGCCCACTGAGAAGCCCACCATTGACCCAGGTTTTTAGTGCTCCACTCTTTAGTTCAGAGAGAGATCTTTTTTTTTTTTTTTTTTTTTTGAGACAGAGTCTTACCCTGTTGCCCAGGCTGGTGTGCAATGGCGTGATCTCGGCTCACTGCAACCTCCGCCTCCCAGATTCAAATGATTCTCCTGCCTCAGCCTCCCAAGTAGCTGGGATTACAGGCATGCACCACCATGCCCAGATAATTTTTGTATTTTTAGTAGAGGTGGGGTTTCACCATGTTGGCCAGGCTGGTCTCGATCTCCTGACCTCGTGATCCGCCCTCCTCTGCCTCCCAAAGTGCTTGGATTATAGGCATGAGCCACCGTGCCCAGTCAAGAGACCATATTAGGAGAGACAACAAATAACCATAAAACAAGAAAGAGTCCTTAAATAGCCTAAATTTTCAAAAAATGAATTTGAAGAAAACTCCCCCAAAATTGAAGAAATGACAAAGAAGGACAATGGGAGAAAAAAGATGAGAAAATTAGAGCATTAATTTAGGAGGTCAAACATCCTACTATTCATAGTTCCAGAAAGAGAAAGCAAAGAAATGAAGGGAAGGAAATTATTTTAAAGATTGTATTAGAAAATATCTGAGAATTGAAAGATGTGAGTCTCCAGATTGAGAATTGTCCATCAAAGGTCCAAAATGATGAATGAAAAAAGATCCCACCAAGGTATATTCTTGTGACATTCAGAATCTTCTCTGAAATTTAGTATTTATGGCTTCCAAAGAGAGAGAGAAAAGAAAAAAAAGTCTCATACAAAGACTAGGCATAAGAAGGCACCATATTATACAACAGCAGCATCAAAAACTAAAAGAAAGTTCACATTCAAAGAAATCCAGACAGAATCGACAAAATCAAAACCATAGCAGGAACATCCACAAACCTCTCTCAGTTTTGGCCAGATGAAGTAGACAAAAAATATTTTAAATTTGTAGACTACAGTAATATAATATGTTTGATTTAATAATTAAACTTCATACTTTATATATTCTATAGATAGAAAACAAACATGTATTTTTAGTTGCCATTGAATATTAAAAAGTTGATCATTCACTCCTGTAATCCCAGCACTTTGGGAGGCCAAGGCAGGCGGACCACGAGGCCAAGAGATAGAGACAATCCTGGCCAACGTGGTGAAACCCCATCTCTACTAAAAATACAAAAATTAGCACGGTGTGGTGGCACACGCCTGTAGTCCCAGCTACTTGGGAGGCTGAGGCAGGAGAATCGCTTGAACCTGAGAGGCAGAGGTTGCAGTGAGCCGAGATCTCACCACTGCACTCCAACCTGGCAACAGAGTGAGACTCAGTCTCAGAAAAAAAAAAAAAAGGTTGATCACGTACCAGGCAACAAAGAAAATGTCAATACATTCCAAAGAAGTTGAAATTGTGTAAGTCAGATGCTTTGGCCGTCCTAGGAGCATTTGCTAATAAACTCAGGAATCAAAGGGTTTGGGTTTAAATAGCCACGTGGGGATGGGAGGCAATGGTGTGGGGTTATGTGAAGCAGGGACTCTTGAAGGCTACAAGCTCAGTGAAAGACTAGAAAGCAAAATAAAACAAAAGACACAAACAGACAAACAAACAAACACAGAAATAGGGAAGACCACAGAAAAAAGCCCGTCTGCTTTGGCTTGTGCGATGAGTGAGGAAGGCAAGTCTTTCCTGGAAATTTTTATCTACAAGCCCATCCAGATGTGAATTTGGGGTACACATGTACACTATCTTCGTGGTCTGGCAATTTCTCAGCCAAAACTGGACTCAAAATATGGTCCTGAGTTGATAACATCTCTGAGGCTGTTGGCAAAAACAAATTCAGAATTTCTCTAGAAGGAAAATTTTTCCACCCAGTTTCCTCACAGATAAAGCCCCAAGAAATATGAACTCATAATTGAAAAACAAGCTACTGTGGGGAGGGGGTCAGTGAACCCAATAAACAGAAGGATTAGACTCCCAGTAATTACAGATAATGTAATTACATAAATCAGATTATAAAATAAATATGTTTAGAATGAGTGAAGAAATAAAAGAAAGAATAAAACCACAAGGAAGGAACAGCATACTACTATTAAACAGGCATGCCATTTTCATTGATTCTAAAACACATTTTAACATCTCTAATTAGGGAGTATTTTGCAACCAATGTGATAAGAGAGCATTGTCCATAGTTTAGGAAGCATTGTTTCTTTCTTAGTAGTATGTAAAATTGTGGTATGCCTTAAATTCAAGGAAATATGGTCTTTAGACATATATAATGTTTAATCATATCAGAGTCAGAAATCATTAAAGGAAAATGATTAGTAGATTTTGCAACATCACAATATAAGGCTATTTTAGGTTAAAAAAGCATCAAAAGACAAAGCGGGAAAAGTATTTCCAAAATTTATGACAAATAAGGGGTTAATGTCCTCACACTACAAAATAGGATATTAGTATGGGATGAGAATACAAATAGGAAATGTAAGAATGAAGAAATAGAAATACAAGAAAGTATTCAATTTCACTAATTGGTAATAAAAGAAACAAAACAATGAAAAGTTTGATCATCAAATTTGTGAAGATGAAAAAATCAATCACTATCTGAATTGTGCTGAAAAATTGGCACTCAAACACTACAATCAGATTGGAACTTGGTATAGACTTTCTAGAGGGCAATTTGGCAAAATATATAAAAAGGATGCCACCTGACTGAATGATTTCACTTCTAGGCATTCTTCTAAAAAGACATAACCATGATTTTTAGCACATACTTACCCCTAAGGAAATTGCTCACACTACGCTTGTAATAGTGAAAAATGAGAACTTACTTAAATGTCGTCTTAGAATTTATTTACATAATTATACAGGTATATGCAACCATCATATAATAAATACTGACATATGCTTAATGACACAAAACATATTTAATACCAAAGCAATGTCCCATCAAGACCTATTTACAAGGCTTTAGTATATTTTTGAGTTAAAATCACCAAGGTATAGACCAGTATGTAGTGTAGCTATCAATTATCTTAAAATATCTAGAAAAAAAGGATTGGTGATTACACCTGAAAATGTTAATAGTCATTCTCTCCAGGGATTGGGACTACTAGTGAAAGTACTTTTTGTGCTTTTTTTATATTTTCCAAAATAAATAATGAAACTTTTGTTTATAGGTTAAAACATTATCTTGGCCAGGCATGGTGGCTCACGCTTGTAATCCCAACACTTTGGGAAGCCAAGGCAGGTGGATCATGAGGTCAGGAGTTCGAGACCATCCTGGCCAACATGGTGAAACCCCGTATCTACTAAAAATACAAAAATTAGCTGGGCATGGAGGCATGTGCCTGTAATCCCAGCTACTCAGGAGGCTGAAGCAGGAGAATCACTTGAACCAGGGAGTCGGAGGTTGCAGTGAGCCGAGATTGCGCCACTGCACTCCAGCCTGGTGACAGAGTGAGACTCCGTCTCGAAAAAAAACAAAACAAAACAAAAAAAACAAAAACATTATTTTAAAAGATAAAGAAATATAAGGGCTAAATAGTGACCACTGGTTTTGGCAACATGGAGGTGACTTTGCCACAGCAGGACATGTGTAACCAGGTGGTCGTGGGTAGAAGAGTTATTGATAAGGGGCTGGAAACTCTTCTAGAAGTACTTTTCAAGGAGCTTGACTTGAGAAGGGAAGGAAAGAGATGCAGTGGGTAGCTAGAGAGGTAGTTGGGTCATGGCAGAGTTGTTTTTTTTTTTTTCCTTTTTTTTTTCTTTTAAGATGGAAAAGACCTGAGCATGTGTAGGCTAAGCGGAAGGAGCAGTGGAGAGGAAGAGGTCAAAGCTGGGGAAAGAGAACTGCAAACAGATAGAGAAGAGCCTGGAGGGGGAGGGGGAGGAAAGGGCTGAGTGATCCCAAGGATCCGCGTGAGCGGGAGGTCATGAGTTTGCTGTGGATCTAATCAATGTGGATGCAGGGTTATTCCAGAAGCACTTGGCCACCTGGGCATACAGACTAAGCAGGTGGCTTGACCTAAATCGGTGCGTAAGCCTGCTGGGTGGTGCATGGGAGTGAGGACATCAGTGAGAACATGGTTCAGGCGCAATCATGGGGCACCAAAGCCAAGCTAAGTGGGGAAGTGAAGTCCAGAGAGGCCACTGGGTAGAGAGGAAATGGATAGTCTTATGTCTGTATCAGTAAGTACTGGCCAGGCGTGGTGGCTCACACCTGTAATCCCAGCATTTTGGGAGGCTGCGGCAGGTGCATCACCTGAGGTCAGGAATTCGAGACCAGCCTGGTCAGCATGACGAAACCCTGTCTCTACTAAAAATACAAAAATTAGCTGGGCGAGGTGGTGCACGCCTGTAGTCCCAGCTACTGGAGAGGCTGAGGCAGGAGAATTGCTTGAACCTGAGAGGCGGGGGTTGCAGTGAACTAAGATTGCACCACTGCACTCCAGCCTGGGTGACAGAGTAAGACTCCGTCTTGAGGAAAAAAAAAATTGTTGATATGAGCAAAGGCTAAAGGGCAAAGGGTAAGGGGATTGAGAGAGCTGGTCTGATTTGGCCACAGATTGGGCTGTTGTTGTTTAGGAGTCTGGCTGTGGTGTGGTGGCTGGGATGACTGGACATAGGTGCATTTTGCAGTCATCTGGGTATGTCTTGGGTCCTCAAATGGTCAGCAGATGGAGGGCAGGGCTTTGACTCTTAAAGTGCTTTCCTTATACCAGTGGGCACTCTGCACTTCAAACAGACTGATTGAAAAGCGGATTCCTTCCAACAGGAAGACCCACTCCAATAGCAAAGGCTCAGAAAGGCTGGGAAGTCAGTTCCCTTCTCTGAATGCCCTCCCCTCTGGGCTCCCAGCCACCTACTGCTGTCCCAGCTGGCTGTCTCCCTTTCCCAGTCTACTCAGTACTTACAGAGAAGGACTTTCCCGCCAAGTTGGAGGACTTGACAACCTCTGTCACGTTGACATTCAGACATGTGTGGTCTGTGACAGGAGCAGCAGGCAGGGGGCAATGGCTAGACCCTGAAACTGAATGAGATGGGTGGGGCTGTAAATGGACCTCCAGGGAAGTAGGGGAGTTTGATATTCTAGGTCTCAAGATCTCCAGGAACCCATCTTGACACCCCCAGCCCTGTCACTCCTCCTTGGGCCCCCACTTTCTGAATCTGCTTGGTCCCAGCCAAGTTACGTTTCCTTCTCAATCATCCATCTTCCTTCCCTGGTGAATCCACAAGTTTCTGTATCCTCAGGTCAGCGGCCATCACCAACCCAAATCCGCACGCCCTACCCTTTCATTATCTCCTCCTGCAACCCTTTTTAAAAGGAATAAAATTCTAGAAGTTCTCTTGAACTTCCTGCAGCTCTTGGGCATGCTAAGAATGAAAGAAGCACCTGCCCAGGGATGTTGTGCAGGACAGAGGCTCCAAGTGGGTGAGGAGGGCATCAGTGCCAACAGGTCAAGGTTTCTTTTACTTTCTTTTTTTATTATTATTTTTTTGTGCATATATATATATATATATACACACACACACACACACATATATATACATATATACACACACATATATAAGTATATATACATACACACGTATATATGTATATATACGCACACATATATATGTGTATATATAGACACACACGTATATACATATATACGTATATACACACACATATATATGTATATATAGACACACATATATATGTATATATACACACACACGTATATATGTGTATACATACATATATATATTTTATATATATATATATATTTTTATATATATATATATTTTTTTTTTGAGACAGAGTCTCACTCTGTTGCCCAGGCTGTAGTGCAGTGGCATGATCTCGGTCACTGCAACCTCTGCCTCCCAGGTTCAAACAATTCTCCTGCCTCAGCCTCCCAAGTAGCTGGGATTACAGGCGGGCTCCACCACACTGGCTAATTTTTTTTTTTTTGTATTTTTAGTAGAGACAGGGTTGCTTAATAGAGTATAATGTGTCAAAAATCATCACTGTGTGCCTGCTGGTAGGCTTCGTCCCTCCCTGCCAACTAAAGAGGGTTTGTAGAAGTCTGCTCTACCGAGGGTGCTGGCATCATCAGACTGGTTCTGATAGGGTCTAGAGTAGGGCTGGGAGTGGGGAGAGTCTGTGAGAGAAATGGAAGGAATATAGTTTGAACAATAAGAGCTAACATTTATCGTTTACTCTATGCACACAAATTAGTAGCTACTTATTATCTCCATTTTAGAAAAAAAAAACAGGTAGAGAGGACACAGTTCACACATCTAAGGTCACATAGATAGTCAGCGGCAAAGCTGGGGTGTGAGACCTGCCCATCTGGCCCTGGCACCGCGCCCTTGATGGTCTGCTCCTGAGCCACTTCTAGGTTAAGAGCTACTGCCACAATTATGCGTCTCCTTCATGGTGTTAAAGAGCTGCAGGTAAAGAGTGTCCTGCTGTGATGGAGTTTTATATGTCATCCACAAATTCAACTTGCCTGGAAGCAATTTTATTAGGAAGTGATATAATTTCTTGAGTTTCTTCTTTGTGCCAGATGCTAAGGAAATTGTGAAGCTATGATGCCCACTTATGAACACAAATGCATTATTGTCAGAAAGGCGCCTTAATTGGAATGCTAGCAAAGCCACAGTGGATTTCAGAGATGGAGTAAATACTCGTGGTTGGATAGGAGAGGAGGGATCAGAGTTGGCTTCCTCATGAGCATTCCAGCCTGGCTTATGTGTATTTTCATTCCGTATTTCTTCTGGAATATTCCAAATGTGTTCATCCATTTTTAAAACAAATTTTTGAATGTAAAGTAGCATTTCATTTATTCTAGAAATATTGATCAAGTATCTACCACATGCCAGGACATGTCATGGACAAAGGGAATAGATGGTGAACAAGATATAATTCTGCCTGGGTGAACTTACTTGTTTGCTCCAAAATGATCTTCTACAAGCATCACCGGATAACATCCCCTAAGTCTAGTCTGTTGAGATTTGGCAATCCCGGGGGAGGCAGTGGTAAGGAACATAGGCTCTTGCATGAGAATACCTGGGTTTGAATTCCAGTTCTGATTCTTCCTCACAGAGGTGATGTTGGGTGTGTTATTCTCTTTCCTTCCATTTCCTCTCCAGTAAAAAGTTACTAATACTAATAGTATCTATTTTCTAGGGTTCACAAGCTTCACTGCCTGGCCTCTGGTGTTTGTTTGCAATATTCATAATCCGTATCGCCATCCTTTGCATTATTCCAGGAGACCAGGGAGCTCACAATATGAGCTAATATTTATAATTTACTATATGCACATAAATTGGCATTTTCTATTGTCTCCATTTTTTTTGGAATGACAGTCAAAGTCCTAAATTTCCAAACAGAAGACAACTAGTCCTGCAGTCCCAATTCCGTGGCAGGAGGCCAACTGCAACCCCTCCCCGGAGTCCCTCCACCTTCCAGCTATGTCTCAGCAGGCTGCTGAGGCTCAATCCAGTGGCCAGTGCTAGAGTCTGGGTGACCCGACAGCAAGCAACTTGAAGGCAGTCACCAAGTCCTGGTCCTGGCTCCAGTTCCGTGACTGAGAGGGCTCCCCCTTCTCCTGCCACTCTGCCCTCTCCCCAGCATTGCCCTTCTCATCTCTTCTCTCTTTCTTTGCTCTGCATTCCCCATTCCTCACCTTCTGTGTCGCTGGCTGGAATGGCCTTCAGGATCAGCCCAGTGGCCCGCAGGGAAACGGTGACCTCTCGGGGCCGGTGGCTAAGCAAGGCCTGAGGAGGGGGATCGAGGAACAGGTGGAGGTGCTCAGGACATACCCTTTCCCCATGCATCCCCACATCCACAGTCTTGCCTCTCTCCCCTGTTTTCCACCCCTGCTGTGAGAGTCTTTTTTTTTTTTTTTTTTTGAGCCAGGGGGTTTCACTATGTTGCCCAGGCTGGTCTTGAACTCCTGGGCTCAAGTGATCCTCCTGCCTCAGCCTCCCAAAGTGCTGGGATTACAGGCATGAGCCACGGTGCCAGACCCGGTTTTGTCTATGTCACTAAGGTCCCATAAGTGCTAGCAGATAAAGGCTTAAAGCACTTCTAGTCCTAGAGAGTATGTTCAGCCTTCCAGACCCCAAAGAATAAATCTCCAGTGAAATCAGTTCAAGCCTCTGGTCAGCTAGCAAGGAAGATATTTTTTAGCAAGGGGTCAGCCCCCTTGTTCCTTAAATCTGATCACCTCCTGGTCTACATGTAAGGCCAACTTAACCCACCCATCCCTGCAAAACTCCCTGAAGGCTGGGGAACTCTGCGGGCAGCTTCAAGAAAAGGGGCAGAAGCTTCCTTTGGCTCTATCTGCTTCCCTGCTTGTCCCAGAGGCCTGCTCCCTCCAGCTGTACCTCTTGGCTACCTACTGACCACGTCCATGCACACTGACCTTCTGGTAGCATAGGGAGAGCTCTGCCCCTGGGCCCTCAGCCACGCCTCTCCTCCTGGGTGAAAAGCCATCTGTGGGGAGATGAGAAGAGGCTTGGGGTGGAGGTTCCCAGGCCTCTTGCCCTAACTTCCCCACCTCTCTGAGGGCAGGAGCTGAGCTGCTGGGTTTACCCATCCATCCATCTCCCTGGATGGAAAGGTGACACCTCCGGGGGCCAGGATGCCTTTCAGTCTTGTGGGGGTTGGAGGGGATCAAGAGCAGCCTTGGCATTCAGCAGAGGTAGGGAACAGAGCAGGGACAAGCACTGAGGGTGTGGGCGTGCAGGCATCATCAGGTGAGAGGTGGAAGGATGAGAGTTTGGAGAAGCTGAGTCAGGGTGACCTTTGGCAAAAGGGAGGCAGATGCTTACCTTTGGGGAATTTAGAATCTTGGATCTTCACCTTCAGTTCAATGAGGAAAATGTCCTCAGTAGGGTCTTGGCTCAGGTCACTGAAAAAGATCTGGAGAGAGGAAGGGAGGGTGGCATTTCCTGGTGTGATTTCCAAATCACTCTATCCCTGATTTCCAGGGATCCAGGGCCATGGAGAACCCTTCCACATAAAGAAGACCTACTTCTTGGATTTGAGGTCTTGAAGTTAATAATGATCTGATTCATTTAGAGATGAAGAAGGTAACGTTAATAACCAAGAGCGTCTGGGTGTGTTCATGATTGGTGGCCTGGTGACCAGTGTTTCCCCAGAGCCTGGGTATTTAATCGGTGGGGTCCTGGGGTCCCTTGGAGCCTCCAGTGGGATGCTTACCTTGACTGTGTAGATCTGGAAATAGATGGGTTGGGTGCCCATGCGGATGTAGTAGGTGATGACGTCTAGGATGAAGGGGTCCACAGTCCGGGATGTGTCCAGGGAAGGAGGCTGTGATGGAGACAGGGAATGTCTTCACCAACTCCCCCAAGGCCACTGTGGGAGATGCCATTTTCTTCAGAGAGAAACTTCAAGCCCCTACATCTCTGGGATGCACTAACCCAGTGCGTCCTTCAACACATTCCAAACCTTTCCTACCACTGAATTTCCACTCCCAATCAAAATATTCCTGTCCAGAGCCCTGCCTCCCTAGGGAATCCGACTGATTTCAATCCTACAGAGACTACTGAGCGCTGCTATGTGTGAGGCACTGTGCTAAGTGATTGAGGGAGACAAGATGCTGGAGAGTGAATCTAATGAGAGACCCAGGAGTGGGTTCTAGGCTCGGATGGGCTACTTGCCATTGGCCAAGCAGGCGTGGGCAAGTTATTCAAACTCTATGAGGCCCGAGTGTCCTTCTACAGAAAATGAGAGGTTGAACCAGATGATCTGATGTCTCTTTCAGCTCTGGTGGTCTCTGCATCTATTAATAAACTAATTGGCTGGGTGTGGTGGCTCAACACCTGTAATCTCAACACTTTGGGAGGCTGAGGTGGGCGGGTCACCTGAGGTCAGGAGTTCGAGACCAGCCTGACCAACATGGAGAAACCTCATCTCTACTAAAAATACAAAATTAGCCAGATGTGGTGGCACATTCCTGTAATCCCAGCTACTCAGGAGGCTAAGGCAGGAGAATCGTTTGAATCCAGGAGGCGGAGGTTGCAGTGAGCCAAGATTGTGCCATTGCACTCCAGCCTGGGCAACAAGAGCGAAACTCCATCTCAAAATAAAATAAAACAATTCAGGTTTGCGTGTTATTGGGAATGGACTATGCGTCTTGTCCTCCAGTCCTTCCCTGGTCCCATATGATGATAAAGCATAGTGACTGGGTTTTCAGAACATCTACATAGAATGTGATAGTGTCAGGGCTAGAAGGAAGCTCAGAGTTGATCTCATCC